>NC_000015.10:86744308-86895823 GCF_000001405.40 Homo sapiens
GCTTTCTGCTCAGGAATAAATTTGCCTTTATTGTTTGTCCCGGCCTACCCCATTCTCACAGAGCTCCTGCCGTGCCAACAGAGATATGAAACAAGGCCAAGTGATCTGCTATTGAAGCTGGAAGAAATATCTCCCTCCCAGTGACCTTCCTAGATAATGAGCAGATATGGTTTTCTAATATAAAGGGAATAAATCAAGGGACCTTTCAGGGAATCAGGGCAATAACAGTGGAGTCCAAGACCATCAATTCCGAAAGCAAAGGGCAGAGGCACCTTTCTTTATAGATCAACATTAGACTAAGGCAAGAAGGGAGACATTCACCCCCAGAGGGGGGGAGGAGTTAAAATAGATCAGCTCTCCCTTCCCCGTGTTTCTCCCACCCTCCCTCTTTGCACTGAGTCCTGAGACTAATATGGGAGAAAATCACACTTTCACAGGATGTCTCACTCGCTGTTATTTTCTATCAGTTGAGTTAATACATAGTTTTGAGAGATGGGTTGTTTGTCTTTGCCTTTAACTCATTATAATTTTTTGGTGTGAATTCAGTGCTAGACCCAGGTGCCAGATTGGTGTCATTCTGCAAACCTCTGTTGATCTGCGGAGCAGCTCTATCCTGCTCTTGGTCTTCATCTGAAACCATTGATCTCTCTCGAGAAGTACCTATTAGGGATAGGGCTAAAAGCGGGGCCAGGAAGAGTTTGGGACCAGGTGGACCACTGGGGGAAGACAAGGTAATAGAGTATGTCTTTCCGTAGACGTACTGCTGTTTGCTGATCCATTTCTTATATATGTAGCACCAAAATACACCAGTGAAAACAAAGGAGAGAGTATGTTTAATTCAAGGAATGACATCCTGGCATATTAAGAATAAACATATAGATAATTTTGATAGAAATAATTGCTATTTGCTGAGGTCTTAGTATGTGATGGGCATTGTGCCCAATCTTTCTGAATATATTAACCTTGAAGAAGGGGTATTATTATCCCCATTTAAAAAATGGGAATATAGAGGCTGTAAGTTTACATGACCTGCTCTGAATTACACAAGTATAGAAAATATTAAGTGAAACATTATATTGAGGGCCGTCTGACCCCCAAAGTCCGTTGTTTTAAACATGCATCTATGCCACAGGAAAAGTTGTCAGTAAATGGTCTAAAAAGGAGGTGCAGAGAACTGGGAACTACTGCCCAGAGAGGCTCAGTCTTTTTCTGGACCTTATGTAGGAACCAGTTTTTTGGACCAAAATCTTGGTCAAGGGGAGATGGCATTGAGGGCCTGGCATTTTCAAATACTACGTGGTGCATGTCAGATTTCAGAAATTTTATTTAAATCCCACCTCCCGATTTTATCTGTGAAGAAACAGACCTAAAGGGGAAAATGGATTGTCCAAGGCTGAGCCGAAATTGTAACTCAGGTCTTTGGTGTATAAGCCTCTCCTACTGGTAGCCAGTCATTATTTGGTGGCAGTTAAAACATCTTGTTAACGCAGTAAGATCTATTTAGCTCATCTTTCCCATGACACCTGGAGAACCCCAGGCACTTGGTCTCACACAGGCTGTCAGCAATAGATTTGGGACAGAAACTCACAGCCCAACACCATGGGCACCAGAGCACATCTGGTCTAAGATACTCTGATGTCTCTCTTTCAGGTAGAGAATACAGCTCCCATTCTTTGATGTGCTAAGAAGCCAGGGCAGTGCAGGATAGTGACCCATTTGGTTCCTGTTGGGGCTTCTTGTGGTTATGCCTCTCACCTAGTACTTCATCCCAGTAAGGGCCTCCCCTCTGCCTCTTTTCTCCCTTCCCTGAAGTCTGTTCACCACACTGTAGCCCAAGAGAGTTTTCACAACACACCTGGTTATGTTTCGCTCTTATTGACAAGATGAAGTAGACTCCTTCCGCACATCCTTCTTCACATGACTTATGCATGACCTTGTAAGAAATGGTTGTTTCTTGTTCTGTAAACCCATCCATATTGAAAAGGTTTTATTTCTTCAAACATGACATATGTCTCTTGCCTCTGAGCCTTTAACCTTGCTATTCCCAGTTCCTAAATCTTTGTATGTCTGGCCCAAGTCCTGGTCATTCCTGAGGTCTCAGTATAAACATCACTTCACTCAGTAAGTTTACCCTTGATTTTTTTATTTTGGGTTCAGAACATACCTTGCACAGAGCTCAGGCCTAGACTTATCACCCCATATTATAATTCCCTGATCGTGCACATCAGCCTCCACCGATAGACTGTGAGGTCCCAGGAGCTGGTAACCATGTTTGTCTGATTTACATTATATCCCCAGTGCTTAGGAGAAGGTCCAGCACAAAATAGGTACCAAACAAATATTTCTTCAATGAAGCACTTATTGGATGTTTTGTGAACACATCCTTTCTCTTCTGTGTATTTTATGGCAGCCACTGTATCTAGTGTTGGTCATTAAATGGAGAGGAAATTAGTATGACGCTGGCCCCCTAAAGACTTCAGTCTATTGGCCGAAACACATGTAACTATGCAACAACATAGGCACACACAAACAATATAACTATAAATTCTGATAAATATTCTATGTAAACATTACAAGAGACCCTATTACATGGTGACCTAAACTTTTTCAATCATAGATTACCTTCTGATACTGTTTAACTATTAAGGAATTGATAAGATCGCATGAAAAAATATTCAGTAACTCAGCAATTAAGTGGCATGCTCATTTCCATAATGGAAACTGGAAGTGAATAGGGATGATACCACCAATGTCTCAGCTTCACAGCCCCCCGAGCATATGCACCCCAGGACTCTAGAGGGATCACTTTTGCCCTTCCGCCTTTAAAAGAGCATGGGCCCCAAATATAGGCCATGATTTCATGCTGCTTTTCCTTAGAAATCCATGGCCATGAGAGGAGAATGTAAGAGTATTTTCCTGCCTCAAATAATGCTTATTAAGGAGTTTGTAAAAATATTTGAAAGAAAACAGTAATAGCCCATGTCTCCATTGTCTAGATGGTTGCTGATGACATTTTGTAGATTAAAGTAATATACAAACTTAGTTAGAAAATTAAACTGACAGATAAAAATTGAAATAAATAAAAATAATAAAACATACAAAATTGCAAAATGTCTAAGTATGAAAGTCTAAAAAACACGAAGTGAAATTTCTTGCCAAAGGCAATAATTCTTTTCTTTTATTATTATACTTTAAGTTCTAGGGTACATGTGCACAACGTGCAGGTTTGTTACATATGTATACATGTGCCATGTTGGTGTGCTGCACCCATTAACTCGTCATTTACATTGGGTGTATCTCCTAATGCTTTCCCTCCCTCCTCCCCACACCCCACAACAGGCCCCAGTGTGTGATGTTCCCCTTCCTGTGTCCATGTGTTCTCTTTGTTCAGTTCCCACCTAGGAGTGAGAACATGTGGTGTTTGGTTTTCTGTTCTTGAGATACTTTGCTGAGAATGATGGTTTCCAGCTTCATCCATGTCCCTACAAAGGACATGAACTCATCATTTTTTATGGCTGCATACTATTCCATGGTGTATATGTGCCACATTTTCTTAATCCAGTCTATCGTTGATGGACATTTGGGTTGGTTCCAAGTCTTTGCTATTGTGAATAGTGCCACAATAAACATACGTGTGCATGTGACTTTATAGCAGCATGATTTATAATCGTTTGGGTATATACCCAGTAATGGGATTGCTGGGTCAAATGGTATTTCTAGTTCTAGATCCTTGAGGAATCGCCACACTGTCTTCCATCATGGTTGAACTAGTTTATAATCACATCAACAGTGTAAAAGTGTTCCTATTTCTCCACATCCTCTCCAGCACCTGTTGTTTCCTGACTTTTTAATGATCACCATTCTAACTGGTGGGAGATGGTATCTCATTGTGATTTTGATTTGCATTTCTCTGATGGCCAGTGATGATGAGCATTTTTTCATGTGTCTGTTGGCAGCATAAATGTCTTCTTTTGAGAAGTGTCTGTTCATATCCTTCACCCACTTTTTGATGGGGTTGTTTGTTTTTTTCTTGTAAATTTGTTTCAGTTCTTTGTGGATTCTGGATATATTAGCCCTTTGTCAGATGAGTAGATTGCAAAACTTTTCTCCCATTCTGTAGGTTGCCAGTTCACTCTGATGGTAGTTTCTTTTGTTGTGCAGAAGCTCTTTAGTTGAATTAGATCCCATTTGTCAATTTTGGCTTTTTTTTTTTTTTTTTTTTTTTTTTTTTTTTTTTTGCCATTGCTTTTGGTGTTTTAGAGATGAAGTCCTTGCCCATGCCTATGTCCTGAATGGTAATGCCTAGGTTTTCTTCTAGGGTTTTTATGGTTTTAGGTCTAACATTTAAGTCTTTAATCCATCTTGAATTAATTTTTGTATAAGGTGTAAGGAAGTATCCAGTTTCAGCTTTCTACATATGGCTAGTCAGTTTTCCCAGCACCATTTATTAAATAGGGAATCCTTTCCCCATATCTTGTTTTTGTCAGGTATGTCAAAGATCAGATGGTTGTAGATGTGTGGTATTATTCCTGAGGGCTCTGTTCTGTTCCATTGGTCTATATCTCTGTTTTGGTACCAGTTCCATGCTCTTTTGGTTACTGTAGCCTTGTAGTATAGTTTGAAGTCAGGTAGCATGGTGCCTCCAGCTTTGTTCTTTTTGCTTAGGATTGTCTTGGCAATGTGGGCTCTTTTTTGGTTCCATATGAACTTTGAAGTAGTTTTTTCCAATTCTGTGAAGAAAGTCATTGGTAGCTTGATGGGGATGGGATTGAATTTATAAATTACCTTGGGCAATATGGCCATTTTCACGATATTGATTCTTCCTATCAATGAGCATGGAATGTTCTTCCATTTGTTTGTGTCCTCTTTTATTTCGTTGAGCAGTGATTTGTAGTTCTCCTTGAAGAGGTCCTTCACATCCCTTGGAAGTTGGATTCCTAAGTATTGTATTCTCTTTGAAGCAGTTGTGAATGGGAGGTCACTCATGATTTTGCTCTCTGTTTGTCTATTATTGGCGTATAAGAATGCTGGTGAGTTTTGCACATTGATTTTGTATCCTGAGACTTTGCTGAAGTTGCTTATCAGCTTAAGGAGATTTTGGGCTGAGACAATGGGGTTTTCTAGATATATAATCATGTCATCTGCAAACAGGGGCAATTTGACTTCCTCTTTTCCTAATTGAATACCCTTTATTTCCTTCTCCTGCCTAATTGCCCTGGCCAGAACTTCCAACACTATGTTGAATAGGAGTGGTGAGAGAGGGCATCCCTGTCTTGTGCCAGTTTACAAAGGGAATGCTTCCAGTTTTTGCCCATTCAGTTTGATATTGGCTGTGGGTTTGTCATAAATAGCTCTTATTATTTTGAGATACATCCATCAATACCTAATTTATTGAGAGTTTTTAGCATGAAGTGCTGTTGAATTTTGTCAAAGGCCTTTTCTGCATCTGTTGAGATAATCATGTGGTTTTTGTCTTTGGTTCTGTTTATATGCTGGATTACTTTTATTGATTTGCGTATGTTGAACCAGCCTTGCATCCCAGGGATGAAGCCCACTTGATCATGGTGGATAAGCTTTTTGATGTGCTGCTGGATTCCGTTTGCCAGTATTTTATTGAGGATTTTTGCAACGATATTCATCAGGGATATTGGTCTAAAATTCTCTTTTTTTGTTGTGTCTCTGCCAGGCTTTGGTATCAGGATGATGCTGGCCTCATAAAATGAGTTAGGGAGGATTCCCTCTTTTTCTATTAATTGGAATAATTTCAGAAGGAATGGTACCAGCTCCTCCTTGTACTGCTAGAGGCAATAATTTTTAATACTCAGGATTCCCTGCAGAAAAGTTTTCTAGTCAAATAACTGTGTGTGTGCATGTGTGTATATATATGTAATTATTATTAATACCAAAAGGAGTCATTCAACAATGTTGTTTTGTACTTTTTTATTTTTAATTATTAAGTATAAGATTTAAAAATTAACACATAGTAATTTTACATATTTATGGGGTACAGATTGGTATTTCAATACCTGTATACAATGTGTAATGATCAAATCAGGGTAATTGACATTTTATTTTTCAGCGAAAAATAGAACCTGGTAATTTCTGTATAACAATAACACCGAACTCCCTTTTTCTTTTTAATAGCTGTGTAATCTTTTGTCTTATGGCTAGATCATCAGTTATTTAACAAGCAATTGTAGTTGTTTGTTTTTGCTTTGAAAAACAATCCTGGCAGGAACATTCATTGGCATTTTCCTTCTAGTGTAACTGTAAATTAGGTATTAAGCAATGGGATTGCTTATAAGAATGATATGTGATCATTTTATTTTTTATTTTTTAATTTTTTTAAACTTCAGGGGTACAAGTGCAGGTTTGTTGTGTAGGTAATTGTGTCATGGGCATTTGTTGTACAGATTATTTAATTGCCCAGGTATTAAGCCTAGTACCTCTTAGTTATTTTTTCTCGTCCTTTGCCTCTTCCCGCCTTCCACCCTCTGATAGGCCCCAGCGTGTGTGTTGTTCCCCTATATGTTCATGTGTTCTCATCATTTAGCTCCTACTTATAAGCAAGGACATGTGATATTTGGTTCTCTGTTCCTGCATTAGTTTGCCGAGGATAATGGCTTCCAGTTCCATCCATGTCCCTGTAAAGGACATGATCTCATTCTTTTTTGTGGCTGCATAGCATTCCATGGTGTATGTGTACCACATTTTTTAAATACAGTCTATTGTCAGTAGGAATGTAGGTTGATTCCATGTCTTCACTATTGTGAATAGTGCTGCAGTGAACATAAATATGCATGTATCTTTATAATAGAATGACATATATTCAGTAATGGGATTGCTGGGTCGAATGGTATTTATGTCTTTAGGTCTTTGAGGAATCACCACACTGTCTTCCACAATGGCTGAACTAATTTACAGTCCTACCAACAGTGTGTAAGTGTTCCTTTTTCTTCACAACCTTGCCAGCATCTGTTATTTTTTGACTTTTTAATAATAGCCACTCTGAGTCATATGCAGAAGGTTGAAACTAAACCCATTTCTTACAGCATATACAAAATTAACTCAAGACAGATTAAAGACTTAAACATAAAACCCCAAACAATAACAACTCTGGAAGACAACCTAGGCCATACCATTCAGGATGTAGGCATGGGCAAAGATTTCATGACTAAGATGCCAAAAGCAATGTCAACAAAAGCAAAAACTGACAAATGGGATCTAAATAAACTAAGGAGCTTCTGCACAGAAAAAGAAACTATCAACAGAGCATTTTATATATTGTTAGATATTGCTAAATTACCCTCCAAGTCACATTGATCAGTGTAGGAGTAGATTCATTTCTTGCAGCCTCCTGAGCAATGTTCAATGACCATCTTATAGATGAAAACTGTATTACATATCTTATTTAAATGTTTTTAAAGTGAGGTTGCATATTTTTGGTCTGCTTACTGATATGTGTATTTCTTAAGATGCTACCTTAAGATCAGTTAGAAATGAAAAGGTTTATTATTAGCACATCCTAAATACACACAGGTTTGCACAGACAATGGTAAAGCCCTTTTAGGGAAAAAAACATGTTTTAATCACAGGTCCCAGAATTTTAGAGATGTTCATCTGTCATTAAAGGCTTCATATTCTATTTACAAACCACCCTCAATCTAAGTTGTTCTGGAATGATCTTTAGTAGGGAGCACTTTATTACCTTGGTTCAATTTGTTCTCTATATGGAATAAATTAGCTTTCACCTTATGTCATTCTGTAAATCACACACCCCTCCCAATGGCCCATCTTAGCAGGAGTTAATGTACCACAGGTGGACATTCTAGAACCTCTACTTATCTGTTTGTGTGCCGTGATGCCAGGATGGAGACCAAAAGGCTAAATGAAGCCCTCACACTGTGCAGCAGTTACTCCATCAGCTCACAGCTCTGTCCCTCCCAACTGATATATTCCAATCTTTCTGATTTTCTGTGTATCCATCTTTTCAGTCTCATTGGAACTAGCATTTGTAGCCTGTGGGTTTGTGATGTGCTGGGTCCTGAAGCAAAACAGATGTGTTTCTGAAATGTGTCTTAATCCATCCAGATTTTAAAGACAAAGCCATTCATCTTTTATCTGGTACAAAAGGGATTTCTAGGTTCTTCCTGAGGTAATGAGTTTGAGTCTAGTGATGTGGTGATAGGAGATGCAGGCAGATTCTTCCATGTCTGTCATCACCTTCCCAGATCCATGCTTTAGGGAGAATGCAGGAGCACAGGAACTCAGCCCTGTTTCTGCTCCAGGCTCTACCCCATTGCCAGGGGCCAGAGGCTGGGCAGGAAGGCTCCCTGTACTCTTTTTACTGTTATCTATATTTTTCAGACTGACATTAAGGATGACAGCCTTCTCCCACCTCCAAAGAATAGATACCTTTGAAGCCATATTCTGGGAGAAAAAGTTGTTAAGAGAGGAAACCAAACTCTCTGTGACCAAACCTTTTTGTTTTTTGTTGCTTATAAAAGGAGTAGCTATTTATTTAGTAAATGCATTTTCTGAACCAAAAATCAAGGACCCTTGATTAGATGAGGGACATTAATTGCTAAATTAATGGACCAGAATATTGCAATTTTCACATACAAAATTTCCTTGGTACAGAATAACCAGTCAATTTATCTTTCCTTGCTCCCGCCCTTTCTTCAGTCCTTCTAAAAACAAGGCACTGTTTATAAGACGCTGTCCTATTTTCTCCTCCTTGACAACTCTTTTCTTTTAAAATCACTTTGTTCTGTAAATTTGTTACCCTTCTATCTAAATCTGTTAAAAACAGAGACAAACGCATGTAGAGACTGTGTCTCTATGTTATATAGATAATATGTGTATGATTATATTATGTGGTCTCAATCTGGCCCTGGGTGGTGTCAGATCCATGGTTTTTCTGGCTCAATCTCCATTCTTGCTGTGTTAGCCAAGGACTCTGACCAATGATGAGGCACCAGGTACGTTTTTATGTCTGCTTCAAGGAGCTTCATTTTCAGTAAACTTGCTTAGGGACACACAAGAGTAACCTGGGGCAGGAATCAAGGCTTTCTTTCTTTTTCTTTTTCTTTTTTTTTTTTTTTTTTGAGACAGAGTCTTACTCTGTCGCCCAGGCTGGAGTGCAGTGGCATGATCTTGACTCACTGCAACTTTTGCCTCCCGGATTCAAGCAATTCTCTTGCCTTAGCTTGCTGAGTTGCTAGGATTACAGACACCCACCACCACACCCGGCTAATTTTTGTATTTTTAGTAGAGACGGGGTTTCACCATATTGGCCAGGCTTGTCTTGAACTTCTGATCTCAGGTGATCCACCCACCTTGGCCTCCCAAAGTGCTGGGAGTACAGGCGTAAGCCACTGCGCCTGGCCTCAAGGCTGTCTTTCTAACTGTCAATCATGTCTAGGTCTGAAGAGTGAGGGGAGAGATGCCCCTTTATCTCACCTACAAACACTTGTCCAGGTTAAACTCTGAATGTCAGAACACTGAACATGTGAATCACAAGTCTGTCTCCCTTGCTTAGATGCAGGTCTCCCTCTATCCCAGTGTCTTTTCAGGTTCCACTTGCTCTCTAGAGCTAGGCATCAGTGACTTGAGAGTAGGGCCACTGTACTTCCATACCTCCTATGTCCTAAGCATGTTGAGAATCTTACTCATCATATGCTGTGACAATTGTTCCACAGAAAAGAAACCTAAATCAGGAAACTTGAGTCAAAGACTTGGCTTCAACCAAACAACAGCATCCATCATACTAAATTAGAATGGTTAATTCAAATTTTATTAGTAGAAGAGCTCTAACTATAATATATTTTATGTTTGTGCAGATTTAAACACTATTATTTTAAAATTATCAACAAATTTAAGGGAATATTCATATTTAAAAGGGATTCGTGCTTACTCCAAGTTTGTGGAAGCATAGCCTTAATTAGTACTTGTGTTTGTCTTTTCATGCAGATATATCTTGCTTGCCCAGCTAGATTATAAAATTCTTGAGGGCAGGTGCCATGAGCAACTTGATTTTTGGAACTCAAGGGTACCAAGGAATTTAAGCAACAATCAAACAATATTGATTGATTAATGGTTCTGTCACCAGGTAGGTTCTGATGTCTGGGTTTTGTTTATTTTCCTCTGGATTTTTTAAGGATTGAGAGTTGTGCATGGTTGGGGTTCTTGGCAAGAAGAGAGTACACATGTCAACTCTTTTGTGTCTGTCCATGAGTCCAAAGGGCTCCTGATCCCATTAATCCCTGACAGAGATTCCTGCAGGGCTTTGATGTGTATACCCACCCCAAGTGAGTAAGTGCTCCTCGTGTCCTGAAAGCATCAGCCTGGCCTCTCCTCAGTGACATCTTCCACTCCGGTGTTCAATTGTGGCTGTGCAGCTTTATTGTTGCTTATGGCACTAATATCCCTGCATAAAGTGGTTTCTTTATTCCCATCCTTTTATCTTTTTGTGTTCCCTGTTCAGAGGCACTGACCTTTTAGCTTGCATGCATTGCCAGGCTCAAGAGAAAACCCAATCTGTCCTTTACCTGGCAATTGTAGCTCATCCCCATTCCTCTCCCCTTATCCCTTCTCTCTCATATCCATCCTTTGCTTTCGATTTCATTTTCTTCCCCGTATCACATTTGGAGCCTTACTAACTGGAGAGAAGGAGGGGGTATATGATGTGGGACTTGAGATTTATCAGAAACCTTTCATTGCAAAATGATGGCATGGGAAATTGCATCATCCATATATATGTCTGAGAAAGACCAGATGGAGAAAATATTTCCACAATGTGACGGACTTTCATACTACTTTCATACTTGTGTCTGCTCTATGGAAAAGACCAAAAGGAAAAAGGAAAGGAGGGAGCAAAAAACAGGAAGGCAAATAAAAGTAGGGTGGATGACCTAATGTTTTTGGCTGCTGGTTCAACCCATCCCTGCTCAAAATTAAAATGAAAACACTCTACAGTATAGAATGGAAAGTGTGGAAATTCTATTCTATACTTCATTTGAAGTTTGAGTTATTATTACAGCTGAGTAGCGGACAGACCAGGAACACCCAGAGTCCTGAGAAGGCAAGCTTTCTGTGTTAGGTTTAGAGTGGTGGGTGAAAAGCACAGCTAAAGTTAAAATGCCAGGAACAAGAAGTTGCCCATCTTCTTCAAGGAGCAATGGACACCACTGCCATTTCCTGAGTCTTTTCTGTTTTTCAGATATAACGTACCGTTCATTTTAGGTTGACCTCAAAGTCCCCCTCTTCCAAGGATTCTTCCCTGATTGACAACCCTCTGTATACTTCTATGCTCACTTGCCGCTCTATCTTACTTTTGTGAATGTGTTGAGTTCTTGTCCTGTGCCTCTGTTCCTTCATGTACTTTCCTGCCTGACTGCATGGTTGTTGAGAGTAGACAGTGAGTGCTTTCATTTTAGTTCTTCCCAGCTATTCTTTCCTATTAGACAAGGCAGCCTTGCACTATTGTTACCTGACTTCTCTCTAGCACAGGACATCTTGCTTCACCCTTAAGAAGGAAGGATGAGGTAGTGTTGGGGAGGAGACTCTACCAGGGCAATCAGTCAGATTGTGCACAGCTGGATTTGTTTCCCCAAGAGCTGGTTCCTAAAAGATATCCATTAAAGTGACAATGAAAAAAGATGGCTAGAGGCTGGAATTTCCCCATGCTGTTTAGCCAAGAGCCCAGATGGCTTGGATGCTCTTCTTTTGGTTCTCAGTTGAGGTTAGCAAATTCCCCAAGGGGCATGCAGAAATATAGTAGGGTCAATTATAGGTTGTCATACTGACCAGAGGGAAGAATGGGTAATATTAGCATTTGATGCCAGGAGCCAGGCCAAACAAATATCTTGAAATATGCAAAAACAGCTCACAGAAAAAGATAAGTCCCCATGAAATTCCAGTAGTGCCCCCGCCCCCACCAAAAAAAGAAAAAGACTACACAGCCATTTTCTCAGAAAAATTTCAGATTCCAAGTGAAGTTTGCTATGTAATCTTCAAATCCCTTTTCTAGAGTCCATTTATTCATGCATGAACTTTCTAAAGGAACTACCATGTGCTGGGGATTGGGGACTCATCAGTTCATAAGATAGACACAGGCCCTGCCTGTTGGCTCCTGACTAAGTAAGAGGTGAAGAAGAGGACAGAGATGCTGCCCTTCCATGCCATGGGTGTTTTAAGAAGGGAAGGGCAGAGTTGCCTGGGCAGGTGTGGAAAGAATTTAACCTAGAATAAGGGAACTGGGGAAGATTTCCCATAGTAGCTGATTCCTAAATGAAGATGAGGAGTTCTGAGGGTGAGAGAAGGAGGGTCTGGGGTGGAGCGTCTATAACCAGGACCCACTGTGTGAAGTAGAGGGTGCAGCATTTGTAAAACCTGGAGCATCATGGGAGTGAAGTTCAGTATGGCCGATCGAATTGTAGATTGAAGTCAAAAGTTGTTGAGAGGGAAAAAATAGACAGAGCTTGTCTTATAAATAATGGTAAGTAGCTTAGAGTTTGTCAATAGGATAATTGGAAGACACTTAAGGTTTTTAAGGAAGAATATTGACAGTTCAAATAGCTCCCTCTGGCTGTAGTTTGGTTGTGTTGACCAAATTTGAATCCAATAAACATGTCTTTTTTTTTTTTTTCTCCCCATCCTCTACTCATTCCGCTTGTAACTAATTACTTACCTACAGATCCCCAGATCCCCAGAGACTGTCATATATTGGCTTTTGAAAATTGTTCATTAGGCTGAGAATTTACAACTAAAAACAGTATACGATTTTCTGAGTATTTATAAATTCCTATCATCTCTGAATGTCTAGACAAGTTTATTCATGATTAACATTAGATGCTGACTTCTGAAGATACATAGAAAAAGCGTGGTCCTTCTTGCTATTTCTAGCGGCAAGTGAGTAACCTTGATGTTGCTATTACTGCTGAATCTGAGCAGCCAGAGTGTGTCAAAGGTTTCTCTACATTCTCTCATTTTAACCTCACAGCACTGCTACAGGTAGGATGAGTGGGTAGCACTGTATTCTACTTGTCACACTTGGGGAAATGGATCACTTTCTTAGCTATCAACTTTAATGTCCTCCTGTGAACTAGAGGAGTGACCTAATTTTTACTGAGCAAATGCTAAAGTGAAAAGTACTTTCTGTTGCCATTTCTTTTGATCTTCTCAATGGCACTATTGGGAAGGATTTATTAACTCTGATTTTACAGAGGGAAAAACCAAGGCTCAGTGGGGTTAAGTGACTTGTCCAAGATTCACATAGCTCTGGAGTGTTCTTGGAAAACAGAAAAGAAAATGGATATGTTTAAATGACAAATGGTCTTGTCTCTCCACCCTTTTTTGTCATTTTCTCCATTCCGGAAAGTTGTCTTGGCCACGTTCTTTTAGTTCCTAGGAATTTCCTTTCTTTCCTCCCGCTGGTCCTCTTTGCTGGCCCATTATGCCTCTCTAAGCGGATTTGTAGTTTCTAGCCTTGAACTATGAGTGCTCCTGCCGTGGCTGGCTCTTTATTCTTTAACCATAGTAGAACAAGAAAACCCAGATTCTCTGAATGATTCTGATTTTAAAATGTAAGACAAGTGATTCTAGATACATTTTATTCCACTTTGTAGAGTTTGTTGTGGCTCCATCTCTAACAAAGAGAATAGCAATTCCTCCTCTTTATTTAAAGCATGGAGGGGATCTCAAGACAATCAATTATCAGGGCCTTTGAAGTTCTTTTCATTTTACATATTTTTTCTGAGTCCAAGTCAATGATCCCCATGGCTTCCCAATTCTCCTATGGTAAAATCTGGAAACTATACTATAGCATTCAAAGCCCACCATGTCCACTCTCCTGTGCCTTCCCCTGCCACATGTGATACCATAAGACTATTTGTTTCTTGTGCTCCATCTCCAATGGCCTTCCTTTCATTTCCTAAACACTCCAAGCTCCTTCCTTCTACAAGGTCTTTGCATAGTTTCTGCCTGAAAACTTCTTAACAGCTTTCTGGTTCATAATCTACTCATTATCTTAATTGATGGTGACTTCCTCAAGGAAGTATTTTCTAGCCCCTAGAGTAGTTTGGGCTATTATATGTGTTCCGTAGTACCATGTATCATACCATGCAAATTGTTATTTATATTGTAATTAATTGATTAATATCTATTTCATTCACTGGATGATAAACCTCATAATAATAGAGGCCAAGTCTGCTTTTGCAAACCATTGTGGTCTAAGTAACTGGGACTTAGGTGCTCGATAAGCATCTGTTGAAAGTTTGAATGAATGCTCTGGATTATATTATGGGTGACTAAATTGCCATCTGAATTGTTCTGATCCAGGTGCCGAGGACTCACTTTTGTTAGAATTTAAACTGATACCTGGCCAGTTGTGGTGGCTCGTACCCAAAATCCCAGCACTTTGGGAGGCCGAGGTGAGCTGATTGCCTGAGCACAGGAGTTTGAGACTAGCCTGGGCAACATGAAAAAACCCTGTCTCTACAAAAAAATACAAAAATTAACTGGGCATGGTGGTACATGCCTGGAGTCCCAGCTACTCAGGAGGCTGAGGTGGGAGGATTGTTTGAGCCTGGGAGGCAGAGGTTGCAGTAAGTGGAGATTGCACCATGGCACTCCAGCCTGGATGACAGACACCCTGTCAAAAAAAAAAAAAAAAAAGAAAAAAAAAAGAAAAGAATTTAAACTTATACCTCATGAGAGTAGAGAGCATGATTATACTTGATATAGATTTCTTTGAATCAAAGGAGTTTAAATTGTATCTTCTTAATATGGATCTCTTCGTATTCCCATCAGTTCCGAACTCTGTATTTAATACAAAATCTTGCAGGATTCATGTTTAGTTCAGAGATCCAAAATAATATGGGATTAATTTATGCTTTTTAAAGACAGTTGGCCAGTAGAAAGTAAATGTTAACAGAGAAAGCATTTAGGGAATTAGAGTAGTATAGTGGTTATAAGTCCGAGTTCTAGCATGAGACTTTTTTAGATAAAATTCTGCTTAATAGGCATGTGATTTGGTGCAAAATATTTAGTTGCCCTCTTAGTCTGTTTTCTCACTTGTATAATAGAAGTAATAACGGAAACTTCCTCATAAAGTTGAAAAGGCTTAAACAAGGTAAGCTAGGCAAAGTGCATAGCATAGTGCTGGGCATCAAGGAAGTGCCCCCAAATGTTCTTATATAATTAAGAGATTAATACATTATCAAGTTATTTAAGAATTAATCAATGTTAATTGACTTGCTTTGGCTTTCCTCCCCAAATCACACAACTAGTTTCCCTTTGTAACATTTGGTGAGGTAGCCATTGTTAGAAAGTCATGATTTGAGATGACATCTAGACATTCATTGAGAATCTGGATACAGAATATGGAAGAACATTAAAATCTTTGACAGGAAACATGCAAGTAGATTGTTTTAAGGAAAGAAAACAAGATGATGACTCTACATTCTTCTCGATGATCTTCACGTGATTCTAATTCTCTTTGGCAACAATAGAAACATTTATTGTAATCATTTTTAAAAATCACAAACACTCCCACATTATTTCTGGTACTTATGGTAACCTTATCACCTTTCCTAGAGCAGAGTAAAGGCAGGCATTCTGACATTTGGAAAAATGAGGTGTGTGGTTATTTTTAGACTTACTGAAACAGCAGCAGCAGGCTTCCATTTATAGGAACTGTAGGAACCTTCCCCTATGTCTGGGACAAGGTAATGACTTCTATGAAGTAATGATTTTGCCATCATAAATTTTATCCCACTGATGATCAACTACCTCTTTAGTGGCCTTTGCATTATGCTAGTTTGTCTTTTTAGTATTAAGAGAATGAGGCCCTGGTTGTTCTTTGCATTTTATCATTTCTTTCTTCCCGGGCTGGGAGAAAATGAGAAGCAGGGGCAGACTACCTCATGACTAAATTGTTCCTGGCTAATAAAACTGCAGGAACTGTACGTTAGGGTGTCTTCCATAAATCAGCCTTGGGGAGAATTAGGTGCTGAGAGATGGAGGAATGATGTTTAATCATCACTTGTAGGAAATCATTAGCTCCACACCCGCATTCTCCTACTTGCCCATTCGTCATTCCCCAATCCCTAGATTCCCCTAGACCATTAACATTTCTCAATGACTTTCTAAATGCAGAGAAAAACCACAGAAGGGGTGAGGGATGGAGGTGCATTACGGAAAAACACAACAGAGAGATGTCTTTGCTGCTTGCTTCCTGCTCCTGTGAATGTAAATGGACCTATGTAAAAACCAAATGATCGATAACTTGGCCAGCCAGCTGCTGCCACAAGAGGTAAAGAAACTGTTGCCTCCTGTTTTCCCCTCTGCAAAAAGAAATAACTTGGTTCCCACCTAGATTTCTTTCCTTTGGCAGTGTGAAAGACAGCTCTTTCTTTTCTTCATTATCATAACTTCCTGACAGATAAGGAAAGTGAGGACGTTGGCTGGTTCTTGGAGGAGTACCAACTTTGGGAAATTAATTGTGTCTTCCTAAACTGCCCTCTGTCCCACCCTAGAGAGGAAAAGCCACAACTTAAGTTTCTGTAAGGTCTACAAAAAAGTGAAGTGGACAGTTCAGTAAAACTGAACTGGTTCATGGTCTAAATGCATTGGTAAGCACCCTTAAAAGGGTTAATCCAATAGCGATGTGTAGACAGACAGATCTGTTCAGCAATTCATAGAGGGAAACAGTATTCTAGCCTTGCCTTCTCCAAGAATATACTTGTTGATGCTAATACATGTACACAAAGGGATTTTAGGAGCCTCTTCCTTAGACAAGTACCCCAGGTTTTTGCCTCTGATTACTTCCGGAATTAATTTTGATCATGGATCTTAGACACTCTTAGCTTTCATATACTGTTTTCCAGGCAAGACTAGAAGGTCAGGAATACAATAACAAGTTCATTGAGAACTTACTGTATGCCAAGCACTGACTCTAACAAGAAACCTGACATATACAAAAAATGGCTAATTTGCACCACTGCACTCCAAAGTAAGGATTTAATTTTACTGGTGAAAAACCTAGTGCTAGTGATTGTGTTTCTGAATTCATGCAGCTGAGACAAGGCAGATCTAAGTTCTGTAGGTCCTGAAAGTTACTTGAATAGCCTGTATGAAAAATGCGGGAATACAAATGTAGGTACAGGGATACAGAAAGGGCATGTGAAAGGGAGGGTCACTGTAGCTGAATCTTCATCAGCTCTGTGGTAAATTTGCTTCCATTCAGTTAGAAGCAGAAGAAGCTGATCTGACTCTGGTCTCCCTGATATCTCAACTGCAATGAAATTTGGCATATAAAAAAGAGGAGTGTCTGTTCATAATCATTTGTGCACTTTTTAATGGGGTTGTTTCGTGTTTTAATTGTAAATTTGCTTAAGTTCCTTGTAGATTCTGGTTATTAGACCTTTGTCAAATGGATAGATTGCAATATTTCTCTCCCATTCTCTGTAGGTTGTGTTTTTGCTCTGATGATAGCTTTTTTTGCTGTGCAGAAGCGCTTTAGTTTAATAACATCACATTTGTCAATTTTTGCTTTTGTTGCAATTGGTTTTGGCAATTTCATCATAAAATCTTTGCCCATGCCTATGTACTGAATGGTATTGCCTAGATTTTCTTCTAGGGTTTTTATAGTTTTGGGTTTTACGTTTAAGTCTTTAATCCATCTTGAGTTAATGTGGCACATATACACCATGGAATACTATGCAGCCATAAAAAGGAATGAGATTATGTCATTTGCAGGGACATGGATGAAGCTGGAAGCCATTATCCTCAGCAAACTAACACAGGAACAGAAAACCAAACACTGCATATTCTAACTTATAAGTGGGAGCTGAACAATGAGAACACATAGACACAAGGAGGGGAACATCACACAGTGGGGCCTGTTGGGGGAGGTTGGTGGGAGGAGAGCATTAGGGAAAAGAGCTAATTCATGCTGGGCTTAATACCTAGGTGACAGGTTGACAGGTGCAGTAAACCACCATGGCACATGTTTACCTATGTAACAAACCTCCACATCCTGCACATGTACCCCAGAACTTAAAAAAATAAAAAATACCCCCTGCCCCCTGCAAAAGATGAGCGTCCTAACAAGTTGAATCCAAATGTGAAATAGTAAAGAGTCATGTTAATATCCCAATAGACTTTGAGGCAGCAGTTTTGGAAAGCTTAAGAGAAGGTGAAAAATTAATCATGGAGTTTTCTTTGTGGCTCAGGAATTTATTACTCCTTACTATAAAGCTCTGAGGGAAGAAGCCCTGACTGGTAGGCTCTCAACCACTCTACAAAGGAGCCAATCCATGGAGAAGGCATAGGAAATGGGGGTCAGAAGGACTGTATCCTAGCCCTGGTGCTAGTGCTGATAAACCCTGTGACTTTAGAGAAGTTACATTTGGTTTCTTTATCTCTGAAAACAGAGGGCTTTACTGTAGCTTCTGAATTCTTTGATTCCAACTCAAAGAATGCATTATTTTCTACCTATCCTTGGTGTTCCTCCTTGTGGAATATTTGTGGGATAGTTGAGTGTGTTGTAAAGAGGCCACCTCCAAGAGAAGTGTGGAAGTGAAGAGAGAAGAGAAAATATTGCTTTGCCTCGGGTGGGTAGAGACAGAAACAGAGAAGGGAAAACACCATAGCACTGTGCTAAAATAGAGTCCAATGTCTATCACACACAATTCAGGTTGCTTAATTTTGTGTAAATGAAAAGCTAGGTTGAATAGCAGAAGATGTGAGCAGTTGCTGATCACGTGATGTTTGGAGTTGCATTACTGTAAGTGCATTTTTGTTCCAAATCACACTCCTTTACCTAGTCTCCACTGACCACAAGGATGACAACAACAACAAAAACTATAACAATAATACTATAGATATGTATTGACTGTAAGATTTATGACTTATGCACATGGACACTCAGAAGATGGCTCATGTAGGCAATCTCTCAAATATTTTCCAATAGAGAAAATGTTTTAGATTATTTGTGGGTTCTCAGGATGTATCACTAAAGAACTATTTAACTCACAAAGTGGCTGAGAATATTGTATCCTCAATGAATTGCAGTAGAAAATGTTGATAATTTGTTCTCAACAAATTAGGAAAAAAATTACAAAAATTATACTCACTTTAGTGAAAAAAACACATATTTAAAGATGATGGGGAGATAGATGATGGGGCAGATATTCTTTTATGAATATCTGGGAGAGCTATAGGACTTCAGAGATTGTGGTTCCCGATTGCTTGTCATTATTTGACTTTAAATCTAGGATGTTCCTTTTATGTTGAAGGAGTTGAATGCCTAACACAGCTCTCACCTTTATTGGCCAAGATTATTGTCACTTGTCAATCATAGGAAATGGGAATCAGAAGGACTGTGTCCTAGCCCTGGCACTGTTGCTGATGAACCTGTGACTTCAGACAAGTTACAATTGGTTTCTTTAGCTGTGAAACCAGAGTTTTACTGTAGCTTTGGAATTCTTTGATTCTAACTCAAACAGTGCATGATTTTCCACCTATCTTTGGTGTTCCTTCTTGTGGAATATTTATGGAATAGTTGAGCTTATTGTAAAGAGACTGCATCCAAGTGATGGAACAGGAATTCTATTGTGAATATCTGGAGATACAGAGATAGAATAGGATTGTGGGATGGAAAAATGAAATGAAGTGAGGGACAAGTATTTTCCTGAGATAATTGGGTAGGGAAAGCGAAGACAGACAGGTTGGGTAGAAGTGAAAGAACTTTTCTAATGGGGAAAGACAGAAGGAAAAACAGAAGTTGCTTTACCTTTCTGATCTCTCTGAGGAGAAAGTGGGTTGGATTAGAAAGTCCAGCTGCCACTGCTTGGAACCATTGAACCTTACAATATACACGCTTCCAGAAACAAACCAGGGATTGAAGGGCAGGGGAGATAAAGGAGAAAGAAGCAAGATAATACATGTAGCAGTACAGCTAAGTACCGGGTGATACAATGTAAGCTGTATATGGGTACAGTGATATGTAGTGAAAGTTTAAAAACAATGACAGTATAGAAGCATGCTGTTGTCAGATGGGGTTATTAGGAAGGCAAGATAGGAATATGATAGGGGTATTGGCCAAAGTAATTAACTGAGTGTGTCTAATGCTCTGTGTGGGTGGATGGAAGTGTGTTTATGTATTTTAAAAGGATCTGAGACAAATATATCAAATATTAACATAGGTTATATCTATAAGATGGGCACATGGGTGCCTATTATAAATCCTGTATACTCTTACATTTTAAAGTTATTTGTAGGGTAAAAGTATAATAAAGGCGTTGTTTATGATCTACAAGAATATTAATAATAGTGTTATAGATTTGATTATCAACTCTGCAAAGACTTCCCTTTCTAATGTAAATTTCTTAAGCCCACTTTGCCTCAGATGCTAAAGTTATTAGGAAACAACATGTCCAACTTATTTTATAACTACGAAATTTTTAAACATCTTGGGCGTGAACATTAAAATGAATTTTCATGTTAATTTGGGCCACCTTTGAGCTGGGTGAATGTAGATTATACAGAAATCACTTGATTAATCTCTACTCTAATGAACCTATTTCTAGACAATGATAAAGAATATTGATCCTCTGTAATCCATTGCTCTAGGATGCTTTGATTCTCCAGGACAGGCATTTCCATTGCAGGTGGATAGATAGGCAGAGTAGGCTTGTGTTCCTAGGAGAAACCAGAGGGAGAAGAAGCTTGGAAAAATCCATTAGGTATAGTTTATGACTTGAATGAAACTTAACTGCTTCTACACCATGTCACATTGCAGATCCATAAGGATTACATGTGTGGTTTTCCATATTTGAAGATGATACAGACCCGGAAGCAGAGAAGCCCCTGACTTGTATTTTTATGACAGTGGAAATTCCCTATGTTCAGTTTCTTTGCCTTCTTCCCCTTGCAAAAAATATGCTTTTTCCAACAAATAATCATTGTGCTCCTAATAAGTGCAACCATGACAGTCACTGGAGACACAGAGCTATGCTAGACCCAGATATGTTTGTTAAGGCCCTCACAGTCTAGTGAGGAAAGGAAGCAAGTCAACAGACAACTACAATCCCAACTGACAGGCTCTGCTATGAGACATTTAGTGTATTATAGCGAGGGCAGGAAAGGGCACCCACTTTGCAGCTGGTGTTTCAGAAGACACATCGTGGAGAAAGGAGCATTTGCAGAGGAGCAGCCATTGCTAAGTGAAACAGATGGGGAACACATTCCACATGGTAGGGACAGCATTTACGATTCCCTGGAGCTTTAAGGGGGAGAGACGTGACAAAAAAATTCCAAGTACAGGCGAAAGTCTCAGTGTTCTGTTGAAGTATCTTGAGGTGAAGAATGACTAGACTTCGGCTTTTTTTTAAAAATTTTTAAAAACATCTCTGTCATGGCAGTGTAGATGTTATCTTATTGGAGTATGAATCTGAAGAAGAAAGATACCTATGGCTGGGAAATAATTTATAACCAAAGGACAGATAAAACACAACAGGATTATAGGGACCTGACATGACATATGGTGGTTTCAGTAGACTGAGCTGGAAAAAGTCTCTAGGTGTTGTCTAAAAGAGGGAGAGCTGAGCCTAGTTTAGTCAGCAACTATTTTCCTTAAAGTACCTTTAGCTCTCCATCACCCAGACTGGTTGTAATTTCTAATAGTTAATAATAGTAATAATAATCATAACCAATATTTACTGAGTGTTTACTATGTGCCCTGCATGTTTTTAATAATTCACCTGCATTCACTCAACTCTCACAACAGCCCAGTGAGATAGGTTACAGTGGTGTCCCATTTTACAGATAAAGTAGAAGGAGGTTTAGTAATTTGTCCAGGGTCACACAGCCAGCAAATGAGTGGAGCCAAGAGTCAAACCCAAGTGGTGCAGCTCCAGAGTTCATACTCTGTCTCCCAGGGTGTACCGCCTCCTAGATCAAGACCATTTTATGTTTAATGCAATTTACAATGTCACTCCACTATTTTTTCTTGTAATTTTATACATGTTATTTAGAATTTGTTTCCTTCCGACCAGACACTGGTCCCTTTATAAAACTACTTATGGTATAAATGGAGGATTTTGTAGGTCTAACCCTATGTCTCAGACAAGTTAATAATTGATGTTATCATTAAACTCATTGATAATGAAATTATTCCATTCAACGTTTTTATTTCATCCTAGGCCCATCAATTACAAGAAATACAAAATTTATATGAAGATAGATGGTCATATAATTTTTTTTCTATTATAAGGGAACAAGTCATAGTGATTTTTATTTCAGTGCCAAGATTCCCTTATTCATCCATTTGTCCATTTATTCTTTTGTCATATATTGATTGAGTGTCAACTAAATGCTGGATTATGGTTATGTACTAGAGATACTGTCAAAAAGACACAGTTCTAACCCTCAAAAATCTGGTCATTTGGGCCTAATCAAATTTCTGCTGTCCACAATGAAGGAAACAGGGAAACAAGAAATAATTTTTTTGAAAGAATCCCATCTTGACAAAATAATCTACACACACACACACACACCCCTCTGCTCTGAGAATTAACAAGACAACCTACAGACGCCATTTCTAAAAATCTGGCTGGCTGGAATAGAGGGAGGAACTATAGCTCTGACATAAAGATTTAGGGTAATTTAGTAAAATATTAGATTAAAATTTAAGTAGGAAATTTATGTGTTATTAAATAGTAATCATGTTTAAGAATTAATGATGAGGTATTCAGTTGTGTTTAATGCTTAATTCTTAGCTATTGCTTAAATAAGTATCAACTTTTAAAAAACATGATTAGCTATATAAGTGAAGCTCAGATTTTTGAATCTATTTTTTAAAGAATGCAATACTGCTCAGAGGTGAACCCTGAGAATCTATGGAACTAGATAGCCTAAACTTAACCTCCGGTCATCACTCTAGTAGCAAATGCAGGCATTCTGATCATGTGTTCATGGCACCAGGGACAGAGACGAATGGGCCTTTGTCTGGTGTCATTATAAATTATTCTAAAATAAGTAAAGCCAAGCTAGGGAAAGACAGACTTTTTCCCTCTTTGCTTGTTTGAATTTCACTTTCTCTAAGAACTTCAACATTAAGAAGAACTTTATTATTAAATTTCTTAAATAATAAATGCTGAGGAGGCATGTTACCCAAAGGATGGATTTAGTTTCAGGAGGTAGCAAATATTTCAGAGGCAAACAGTCAAAGAATTCTATTCCTTGAACTGAAGGAAATAATATAGCATTTATTGAGCTTCAGTTTTATATTTGTTATCTCATTTGACTTATTTCTTTCAACACTTTCCCATGGATTTATTAATATTCCTATCTTATAGTAGAGAAAACTGAGATTTGCTTCTGAGGCTTTTTTCTAAGATCACACAGTTCACCAGACTAAGAACAGAGATTTTAAAAGTCAGATTTTCTGATGCGATGACCAGAACTACTTCCTCTTCTTGTTGTTCTTACTGGTAGCATTCTGTAAAGCATGCCACCATCTCTCTGATAATACAAGACATCACAATCGAGAAGTCAAACAATCTTATGTTCTATTCAAATGTGAAAATTTGCATAACTCAACCTTTTTGGATTTTATTTTCCTTGATTAAACCATGAAAACCGTGAGTTGAGTAGAATCAGACAGAGCTACACAGAGATGAAAAAAGGGCCTTCTTAGATTGCTTTCATTTATACAGAAAGAACTCATCACTGCAAGGTGTCTGCCCTGATCATGTTGCTTCAAGCCAGCCATATCCTCAATCATTGCTCCACAGTGAATCTAGTCAATGTGGGAACATTGCATTACAGCTGATGGGAATAGTCTTAGACCCTGCTGATTTGCTCGCAAATTTTATTCAGTCTAACTTTACACCTTTGGCATTTTTCTCCAATTTAGTTTTACTCCAAATTTCTGGACACAAACATCTCCATACCCTTCCCATTGCATATAACATAGTTTAACATAACATAATATAACGTAATGTAACGTAACATAGCATAACATACTCATAACAACACAACATAACATTACTGCTATAGCCCGCAAGCATGATCCACCCAGTCTTTGATTCCCCTTCCCACCTTATCTTATACCACCTTCTGCCTTGTTCACTGTCCTCCAGCTACACTGGTCTCTTATTTTAAATTCTTCAAACATTTTGCATTTGCTCTGGTGTAAGGGTCTTTGTGCTTGCTTTTTATGCTTGGGATGCCTTTACCCTGACCTTTGCATGCCTCATTTCCTTTAGGCACTTCAAATTTCAGCAACGTAGGGAAGCCTGACCTGACAACCTAGTGATCAACTGGCTCTTGGCCCACATCAAGTCACTATCTACCACATTGCATTTTCTAGATTTTCTTTATGGGAGTTATAAAAATTAAACCATATGAAATTAACTTTTTAACATGTATAGTCGTTTATTGTTTACTAATTTTCTGCAATGTAAGTTCCAGCAAATCAGGGGCCTCTTATATCATATTAATTGCTGTGCCTTAAGGGCTTACAGGAATCTCTGAAATATAATAGGTACCCTTTAAAAATAATCTGTAGAATGAGTGAATGTTTGAAGAGATTAGATATTTAGAACACAATGTTGTCAGACACTGTAAAGGGTGTGAGGTTTTTAACCTACTTGCTAGATAACATAGACCCCTGGGTTAGAGACAAAGACAGTTTATTACTCATAACAAAAGCAGTCGCCAAAGGAGCATATTGCATCAGTTGCCAGTGTCCAATCCTTGGATCCAGTGAGGGCTTGATGGGACCTGTACATGCAATGGGATACATTACAGGAGAGGAACCCAAGATTAAAGCTGTTGGTGGGCTTCTCATTTTGAGAGGGAGAGAGAGAGAGACAGAGAAAGAGGGAGAGAGAGAGAGAGAGAGAGAGGAAAGGAGAGGGAAGAGATATTCCATTTTTATTCTGGAATATAAGCAAACATTTCCTGGGAAAAGGAATGAGAGTTCTGTATCTTCATTATCCCAGGCTATCTCTAGGAAGGAAGATTTCTCTATGCTTTACTATCCTGGAATGTATCCTTATATAAGTATTCTTAATTTGGCTATAAATGCCTTTGCTCAGAGGACCGAGACCCTGTGTAAACATGAGATATTCATAGAAAATGATTTCTCATCACACAGTTTCCATGTCATTGACTAAGGACTCTGAGTTGTATTTACTTTTACCTTCTGCAAGTAATCTTGTCCAAGAACTCTGGAAACCTTTCCATTGTCCAGTTTGACTGATGCCCTGGCCTGGCCACCTGCAGGAGAGCTTAGACCCAAGGTATCTGAGTCCAAGGACACTTGTTCATTCACCATCCCCATCGACATTGGTAGCATTTGCTGTTAATGGTGACTTTCCTTGGACTTTACTAGCAGGTGGAGTAATACAGCTCAAGTTAAATAATACTCTTCCAGTAGCAGAAGTTTGAAATGCAAGGCTCATTTAGAGACATGTTTGGGATGAGTATATTTTCCTCCACCTCATCTCATTGCCTCCCTTTTAAAGTCACAAATGCAAATCTGGGGAGAGCTTCCGAGAAAGGCAGATTGAAAGGCTTAAAGATGACTGGGTTCTAGTGCATATCCCAGAACAAAGGACCAGTTATATACCAAGCATTAAGAAGATTCCGCTGGGCTCCTCAACCCAATTTAAAGGCTCTTACTTTAATCCTTTAATACTGTATATTGACTCCTTACCTCTGCAATAGGATGAAAATATTCTGCCCAGGTTGTTCCTTTTCAATAGTCCCTATTGGTTTTCTTGTTCTTCTTTATTTCTTATTTCCTTTATAAATGAAAAACTAAACAAAACTAAACAAACAAAAGCATAGACAGATAATCTACATGTATCTGGCGCTATAGTTAGTTTATAGAGATGAATAAGACTGGGTCCTGCTCTCATGAAGCTCACTATCTAGTGGAACAGATACATAAATAACTATCACAGTGCAGTGGTCCCTCCATGGGGTTGATTTTGCATCCCCGCACAGGAGACATTTGGCAATGTCTGGACACGGTTTTTTTATCTTCATGACTGGGAAGGTAGGGTTGGTTACTAAGAACATCTACTGTGTAGAAGCTACAGCTGCTGCTAAACACCTTAGAATTCACAAGCCAGTTTCCTACAACAGAATTATTTGGTCCAAAATGTCAGTAGTGCTAAGATTTAGAAACCCTACAATAGGGTAACCAAGCTGAACCAGAAATTAAGAAAGACACCGCAATTGCACGATGGAGGATTGAGTGTCTCACCGAAGGATGGCAGAGTTGGTCAGAGGAGACGTACCTGAAGAGGTGAGTTTTGAGCTGAACTTTAAAGGACAATTAGGAGTTTTCCAAGTAGATGTAGAGGGTATCGTAGGAGCAAGCTCCCTCACGGGCTGGGGCATGGAGCATTGATTTCCTGCTAGAGAACTTTGTGTTCCCCAAGGCTACTGAAGACCACAGAGGAGTAGTACACAGGAAGCAACTAGGATTACACAGAATAATAACAACCTACCTTGTTCAGACATCTACTCTGTGCTAAGGGCAGGGAGGCCAGTCCTTCTCAAACCTGGGCACACAGCTAGATTACCTATCTCAGCTACACTCATAGTTAGATGTGGCCATGTGACTGAGTGCAGTCCTGGACTATTGGCAGGATTGAGGTGTCCACTTCCAGGCCTCACTCGTAAAGGCATCCAATGTGTGGTCCTTGCTCTCTTTCCTCAGCCACAGTCTAGAGGAACTCTAAGGCCCTGAGGAGGGAGGTGTCAAAGATGGAAGGAAGTTGGTCCCTGAATCACTGCATAAAAGATTACGCACCGGACTTGACTAGAGCAGAGACTAAGTTGTTATGACATTAAGCTACTGAGATTTCAGGGTTTATCTCTTATAGTAGAAAGTGCTACTATAATTAATCTAAGTATAAATAGTGCTAGGTACTTTAGCTACATTATCCCTAATCCTTTTGATAATCTTGCAATACAGATGTTATTCTACATATTTTAAACATAAGGAAAAAGGGTTCAAAGTAGTTAAGTGACAAAAGCTATTAAGTGGAGTGAATCAGGGATCAAATGCTTGCTCTTTCCAATGCGCTTAATGGTATGTGCTTTCTCTTTACAAGAGCTAGTTTTGAATGACTCTGGATAACTTTTTGGAGGGAGAGCTTTCCTATACAGACTTGCATTCTTCTGTATTTCTTCTGGTTTGGTATGGGGGAAAGATTACCCCTAACCCCCGTATTTCCATGCCTGGTTTAGTATACCAATGCAGTACTCTCATCGCCTAAAATTTTTGGTCCACTGGTAACATGTTCGGTAAATAGAAACTGCACTTGCGTAAGTGGTACATTGCTTGTCAGACATTCAGGGATGGATAAAAAAAAAGAAAAAGCTTTCACAAATGTAGTTGTCTTTCTCCTTAATTATTTTTTTCTCCAATGAACTGGAAAGGTACATGAAACAAAGGACCATTCTGCCTCTCTTAGCTGCTGGAAGCCATGTTTTATTTCCCAGTTAGAGAGCCTATTGGCCCCTAAGGCTGCTGGATGGGGAAGTTGCCAGTAGGCAGGCAGAGTCATTAAGGGAAATGGGTGTTTACATATAGCAGCCCTGGGAGATACGGAAGTTCTTGTGTGGATAGAAATGAAGTAAGGGCCTGAGAGGGGCAGAATGTACATATTTGATGGGGCACTTATGAAAAACAAGTGGAAGAACAGTGTGGCTGGATCTGAGAGTGGAAGTATAAGACATGAGGCCGGGAGGTCACTGTAGTGGTCTCAGGCTTTCAGTCTGCCCAGCATCTCCTTCAGCATCTCCTTGGGAAACCACCTCTCCTCTATTATTAGTCTTTGAAATTAAATTGGGGTTGAGCACCTTCTACTTCCTGGTTTGGGAACCTGACCCAGACTTGGCCCATCACTTGATTTAGTCCTCATTACCCTCTGCTGATCCCAGCCACAGTAGCTGTTATAGAAATGAGCATATTACCCAAGCAGCACCAGTATAAATAATCTCTAAGATGTTTCTGTGTGGGAAACCTATAAGAATAACAAATTTGGAGGTGAAGTCAAGATCATCAGTTTACATTTTATTTGTGGTGTCTTTGTCACATTCATATAGAAATTTCAATTAGGCAGCTGGAAAGTTGAGTCTAGGTTTCAGAGAAGAGCTCTGGACAGGAGAGAAACATTGGTAAATCATCTGTTCCTTGGTGGTAATTCATAAGCACACATGAGATCACAGAGTCAAAGGTTAAGAGTGAGCAGAGAAGAGGGCCTGTGGCTGGGCCTGGGATAATGCCAATATTTAATGGCCAAATAGGAAATAAGGGGTCTGAAAATGAAGACACAGAATGGATAATCATAAAGGTAGGAGGAAATCAAGGAGGTCATTTTGTCAACTAAGGCAGAAAGAAAATGTTTGAAGATGTTGTAATCAGCAATCCTGATAGCTGCTGATACGTACAATAAGCTGAGAACAGAGAAATACTTTGAAATTGAGCAACATGCATGCTATTGCTGACCTTTGGAGCTGTTTCAGTAGTGTGATCACAGCAAAAGCCAGAGGGAATGGGTTAAGGAGTGACTGAAGAGAGAGGAAATGGAGATAAGTTATCATAAACAACCCTTCCAAACCAGTGAACCCTTAACGTGCAAAACTGAGCCACTGGCAGCTGGAAGCCTGCATGACAAACTGTGGTTTGGGGTTAGATTTACCTGGATTTTTCGGAATCAAGGGTGCACTTATGGGCCTTGATTCTTGATTCTTGGCTTTTTGTCCATGGTTCAGTTCTGTTCAACCAACATTATTGAGTATATACATTGTGTTAGGCCCTGAGTTGTAGGGAAGAACAGAATTTGGTTCTTGGCTTTGAGAAACGAACTATCCAGGTGGGGAAAAAGACTTGCAAAAAGAATATTTGAATTCAACATGGTAATGCAGTGATGGGGTACGGAGGAGGCACTCCTGAGTGGAAGAGGTGTGATAGCTGAACCAAGCCTCGAAGGATATGTAGGGTTTAAGTTTCTCTCTCCGGAAATCTAACTCTTCCACATATGGAGCCAACCCATAGAAAGTGGATGTCAATACATACGTATACATGTGCCATGTTGGTGTGCTGCACCCATTAACTAGTCATTTAACATTAGGTATATCTCCTAATGCTATCCCTCCCCCCTCCCCCCACCCCACAACAGGCCCTGGTGTGTGATGTTCCCCTTACTGTGTCCATGTGTTCTCATTGTTCAATTCCCACCTATGAGTGAGAACATGTGGTGTTTGGTTTTTTGTTGAACATGTACCCTAAAACTTAAAGTATAATAATAAAAAAAGAAAGTGGATGTCAATACAATTAGCCTTCATGCACTCAGTGGAATAAATGTGCAGAGAAGCAGAAGCCTGTTTCTTTAGACCCCTGATGCTGTCCACCTACCACTAGTTGGCTCTGTATCCACTGAAAAAGAAAAAAGCAGAGCAGCTAGGTGTGTATGGAAAAGAATCTCTCCTAGATTTCTTATCTCCATGGGGTTTCAGAATGAAATATACCAGCTCCACAGGAAAGCCTCTGACAGATGGGAACCTATTTAACAAGCCATGGGAAATGAATAGGCTGGCTCTGAGAGGGATAGCACAGCCATATAAATCTATTCTCAGGGATGTGGGTGTCGGCAAGCCCCAATGACCCACATTCAGAAGTATTTGTCTATTAATTAGGGCAGGTGGTTCCATCCCAGAAGGCTTTGCCTAGCAACAGTAACCAAGACCATCTGCAACTTCAGTCCTGTGAGAGAGCTTCAAGTGGGAGAAATTAGAGTGATGTGCACAGTAGCAAGAGAAGACCGGGAACCTGAGCCCGATGCTGTATTGTGCCCCTGTTTTTCCCTCACTGAAATCAGGAGTTTCTGACAGATCAACACAGTCCTTAAAATAAAATCTTTCTCCCCTCACTAATTTAAAAATCTGTATGGCTTTTACATCTGGCATATAATTACAATAGTGGATGATTTCAAATAAGAATATTAAACAATGTTTAAGAGTTATTGCAAGATGGTTGGGACATAGAAAAAGGACAATGGAGTCTTTAATACATACTTTTGTTTTATTCAATTTATTCGTTGAGCAAATGTTTATTTAGAATTTTTCACATATTGGGGGCACAATATTGAATGAAACAGAGTATCTGACTTCAAAAACTTAAAATCTATGGGAATAAATCAATAAAGTAATTTCAGTGCAATGAGATAATTACTGCAACAGGTAGCTCTCAGGGCAGGAAGCTCTAAGTACAGGGAGCTCCTGGAAGACAGAAGCAGCCCTATCATTGAGGGCTAGTGGAAAGTTAAGAATGGGAGGTACAGTATGAGAAAAATTAAGATTTATATTGAGGAAAACAAAGTATGGTGTTCTGAGAAGTGCTACAATATGTATCAAGGCCAGGAGACACAAGCAGGGCATATTTCTTGAATGAATAGTTCACTGTGGCTTGGGACTTAGAGGGCTGGGATAGAAGTATAAGAAATGAAGTGGAGAGGAAGAGAGGTAAGGAGCGGCTATGACATTAAGAGTCTAAAATGCCATGCTAAGGAGTGAGGATGTTGCCCTTTAAGTCACCATAGAAAAGTTTTAACTGGAAAGGAAGCAAACTCATGTTTGTACTTTGGGAAATGTTCATTTGTTTATTCATATCCCAAAAAATACACAGACAACCCCTGCTCTATGGCAGACATTGCTTTGGGAACACAGTGGTGTTCAAAACAGGCATGATTCCTGCCCTTGCAGCACTTGTAAGACAGATGTTAAACAAATGATTTGAAGGGTCAGTGGGATATCAATGTGGAACATGAACAGAAAGAGGCTAGAGACAGGGAGGTGACTTAAAGGCCTGTGGCGATAAACCAGACAGAAAGTGATGGTGGCTCAATCCAAGGCAGATAGCAGGGTTGGGAGTAATAGATTAATTCCAGATGTGGTATAGAGTGAGAAACCCTGGGACACTATGACTGAATATATGAAGAAAAATGCAAAAGGCAATTGGGATCTCCTGGTGACCATACACTTCTCTTGATGAAATAGCATGCTCAGGATTAGTTCGCTCCATGAAGAAAAAGGAAACTGCTCAAATTTTGCAAATCTATTGGTGCATCTTAGAGTTAAATCCTGTGGTGGTGAGAGATGACATAGAAATTCAGGCAGCCTTGATATTTGAAAAGAGCTGTCAATATCTCATACTCTCTGAAGAAGATCACTTGGCATGGCTAGTTTCTGGGTGGCTAACATGAAAAAGACTTAGTACAGGTTAAGATTCAAAAGTCTATTTAAAATTTATACTTGGACCTTTTCTTCAGCCAGAGCTCATGCAGTGGTAAATACTTACATTTTTAACTCATGCCAGAAGATTTTTTCCAAGCTATTACTATATTTTATATTAAAATTGTTTACATTTTATTTATAAACATTTCAAACACATAAAAACATTTAGAAAATATTATGACAGACACCTATGTACTCAGCAATCACCAATCTTAAGTAATTTTTATTTAAGCTGTTAAAATACAATTAAATCACCATTTCCATTTCATCATCCTTAACATCTTAGAGAAAAGAATCACTGTGAAGTTGATAAATAGCATCCTATATACTTCTTTTTCTACCTTTGCTAGACGTAAGTGGGTCCACAAACAACACATAGTTTCTTTAGCAATCCAACCTAAATTGTAGCTGACAATCTGGTCTCTGATGATTGTTCAGTGGTCATCAATCATTTTCCACCTCCTCTTGTTCACTCAACATGTTGCGCTTGAGATTTTCAGGTTGATAAAAGTGAACTCAGTTTATTCATTCTAATGGCTGTATATGCTCATTGCATAGATGATCACAGTTTACAGATCCATTTTCTTTACTGAGAGACAGTACCTTTCTGTCCTTTGCCTTGTATAAAAGTTCTCTATGTCAGCAATTGAGAAGCAGAATTGCTGAGCTACTTCCTCATCGTAACTTGGTGATATCCATGTAGTTGCCCTTTGACAATCTGGAAGTGATATAATCTCATGGTTGCTTTTACCTTCATTTTCTGATTAGTGAGGTTGAGCTCAACCCCTCATATTTTATTTATTTGTGTTTCTTCCACTGTGAGTCACTTATTAATATGCTTTGTCCATTTTTTCTATTCGTTGCTTCTCTTTCTGTTCTTTTTTTTCTTATTGATTTGTAGAAGTTCATTCTGTATCTTGAGAACTTAGGCCTTTGTTCCAGGGATTGTAATATTTTCATCCAGTTTGTGACTTGTCTTTTCATTTTTGTGGTTTTTTTTTATTTATGGAAAAAAGATTTTTGCTGTTGTTTTGTTTTGCTTTTATTTGAATGGATAGCATTCCTGATTCATATTTTATTCTCTGTGAATCAATGGCTTAGAATTATATATATATATGTGTGTGTGTGTGTGTGTGTGTGTGTGTGTGTGTGTGTGAGAGAGAGAGAGAATTAAGGGGAATTTGTTAATAAAACAGGTTTTTTTAAAAAATCAACTTTTAGACACGGGAGTATGTATTATTTTTTGCTAGTTTTACTTAATATGTGTTAAAATATGTGATTTTTCTTCATTACGTATTATGTTTCTTTTGTGCTCTAAGAAATTGTTCCTAACCAAACACAATAAGGTTTTTTTTCTTCTATACATTTTTCTAAACATTTTAGAGGATTACTGCTCACATTTAAGTATTTTATCTAGCTGAAATTAATTTTTGCATATAGGCAGAGGAAACGTTCTAATTTTGTCTTTTTCCATATGGACAGCCAATTAATGGTCCCAGCACCATCACCAGTTTTATAAAAACCTACTTCCATTATGTGCCAAACTCTCATATACATGAGGGGGTTGTTTCTTTTTTCCATGTTATGTTCCCTTGATTTATTTCCTATTCCTGCACCTGTACCATCCAGGTTAAAATATTGACATTTCGTTAATATTTATAATTACTTACTGGTGAAATACTTATTTATATATTACACAATTATATTAAAATAAAAATATTACTCATATAAATTCATACTCTTTCTCTTGTGCCTCCCCTTTCCTTCTTATTACAGTGGCCTCTTCCATCTATTTTTTTTTCCCTTTACAATATCATCTTAGTCATTATTTAATTTTCAGTTTCCATAGGAAGTTTAGAATCTGCATGTCAAAGTTCATGAAAGATCTTTTTGGAATTTTAACTATAACCACATTCAATTTGCAGATTTATTTAGGGAGAATTGGGATATTTATGACATTATAATTACCATCCATGTAGATATATCTGTTTTTATTTATAACATTTCTTTTTAGTCTTCAATAAAATTTTACATTCAGGCCAAACATGTTTTTTACATGGAAAATTTTATTTTGAATATGTTTCATCTTGAAACTAATTGTCCATTTACATTTGACAACAGCCATGTTACCTCTTCTGTTTTTTTCTTTTAATTTTTATCCACATTTAACATATATAAAGATAAGTGAACAAATCATAATAGTAAGTCTTGATTACAGAGGGGTCATAATCAAGAAACTGTCACCTAGACAAAGAGAAATTTTTAAAAGCTAATTATCGGGGGAAATTCAGCCAGATATCCTGCGAAATTCAGCCAGATATCGGGCGAAGTTCACCCCCAATATTTCATGTAGGTTCTTTTCTATGTTCCCTAAGGGTCAGCCGGTCTGAGAAATAAAAGGACAGAGTACAAAAGAGAGAAATTTTAAAGCTGGGTGTCCAGGGGAGACATCACATGTCAGCAGGTTCCATGATGGCCCCTGAGCCGTAAAACCAGCAAGTTTTTATTAGTGATTTTCAAAAGGGGAGGGAGTGTATGAATAGGGTGTGGGTCACAGAGATCACGAGCTTCACAAGGTAACAGAATATCACAAGGCAAATGGAGGCAGGGCGAGATCACAGGACCATGGGACTGGGGGCAAAATTAAAATTGCTAATGAAGTTTCGGGCACACAATTTCATTGATAACATCTTATCAGGAGACAGGGTTTGAGAGCAGACAACCAGTCTGACCAAAATTTATTAGGCAGGAATTTCCTTGTCCTAATAAGACTGGGAGTGCTACGGGAGACTGCGGCTTATTTCATCCCTACAGCTTCGACTGTAAAAGACGGCCACCCCCCGAAGCGGCCATTTCAGAGGCCTACCCTCAGGGACGCATTCTCTTTCTCAGGGATGTTCCTTGCTGAGAAAAAGAATTCAGCGATATTTCTCCCATTTGCTTTTGAAAGAAGAGAAATATGGCTCTGTTCCACCTGGCTCACTGGCAGTCAGAGTTTAAGGTTATCTCTCTTGCTCCCTGAACATTGCTGTTATCGTGTTCTTTTTTCAAGGTGCCCAGATTTCATATTGTTCAAACACACATGCTCTACAAACAATTTGTGCAGTTAACACAATCATCACATGGTCCTGAGGCAACATACATCCTCCTCAGTTTACAAAGATAATGGGATTAAGAGATTAAAGTAAAGACAGGCATAGGAAATCACAAGGATATTGATTGGCGAAGTGATAAGTGTCCATGAAATCTTCACAATTTATGTTCAGAGATTGCAGTAAAGACAGGCGTAAGAAATTATAAAAGTATTAATTTGGGGAACTAATAAATGTCTGTGAAATCTTCACAATTTATGTTCTTCTGCCATGGCTTCAGCCGGTCCCTCCCTTCCAGGTTCCTGACTTCCCGCAACAGCTAAACTTGAAAGAGAATATTATGCACATCCCAGAAGTCTCCTGGTGTCTCCTTTTGCTCTTTGACTCATCACCCTTCCTACGGATCGTTCACTATTCTTATTATCACACATCATTGACTAGTTTGTCCTCTTAAAAATGTGATATGAATGGGATGTTTGCCCTTCCCACCATGTGAGGACACAGGGAGAAGGCACCATCTGTGAACCAGGAGACAGGCCTCACCAGACACAGAATCTGCCAGTGCCTTGATCTTGAACTTCTCAGTCCCCAGAACTCTAACAAATAACTTTGTTTTATTCATAAGCTATCAAGTTTATAGCATTTGGTTAAAGAGGCCCACATGCACTAAGACAGTATTCCATTGTGTGAATATTATTTATCCATTGGAATCATTTATTCCCTGAAATCTCAGTGGGCATTTGGATAGTTTCTAGTGGGGGACCATTATAAATAGGGCTGCTATGAACAGTATTGTACCTGTCTTTTGATGAAAATATGCATCTAATTATTTGGGTATAAATTTAAGTGTGGGCTTAATGAGTCATATGGTATATATATTCAACTTGTAGTTGATACTGCCAAAGAAATTTTTAGCATTGTATGGAGAATTCTGATGATCCACATTACCAACCATTTGTATCTCTTTTCTTTTTCACTGATTTTTTGTAATGGGGAAATAGTGGGATTGCATTGTGGTTTAATTTCCATTTTTTTCAGATGACTAATAAAATAGAGTATTTTATTTTTATATTTTATTAACCATTTGAGTCTCTTCTTTTGTGAAGAGCCTATTCAAACTTTTGTTCATCGTTGTATTGAGTTGATTGTGTTTTTCTGATTGAGTTGGAAAAGTATGTGTTGGACACCCCCCCAACACACACACACACACACACACCCCTACACTTTTCACTCCCTTGTCAGTATGTTTTATTTCTGAGTCTAATGTACTATAACTTATTTTTCTTTTAAGGCTAGTTCTGCTCATATCCTATTTAAGAAATCTTTGCCTACTCTAAGATCATGAAGCTATCCTCCTATGTGTTTTTAAACCTCTATTGTCTTACCTTTCACATTTAGGTCTATGATCCACTTTTAGTTATTTCTGTATATAATATGATGTAAGGAACAAGACACATTTTCTTGCCATTGACATCAGTTGGCACAATACCATTTATTAAAAAGGCCACCTTTGCCTTCACTGCCGTGTCAGTTTTGTCATAAATCAGATGACCATATGTTTCAGAAACTATCCCTGGATTCTTTTCTGTTCTACTGATTTATGTTTCCCTTTTTATCTCAATATCACACTGTGTTCATTAATATAGATTTATAACAGCTCTCAATATCTTATTGGGTATGTCCTTCATGTTTATTGTTCTTTGATATTACTTTGCCTTTTCTTGGCCATTTGCATTTTCATGTAAAAATTTAGAATCAACTTATAAACTCCCACCAAAAGTACATTCTGGATCTTTATTGGAATCACCTTTATTGGAATCGCATTGAGTCAGTAGATCAATTTGGGGGAAGATTTGGAATTTGACAACATAAAAGTTTTTTATTCTATGGCTATAAAATATCTTTCAATTAATTGGGTCTTCTTTAACTTCTTTTTTTTTTTTTTCTTTTGGTGAGACAGAGTCTCGCTCTGTCGCCCAGGCTGGAGCTCAGTGGCGTGATATCTTGGCTCACTGCGACTTCCACCTCCCGGGTTCAAGCAATTCTCCTGCCTCAGTCTCAATCCCGAGTAGCTGGGATTACAGGCATGTGCCACCACACCTGGCTAATTTTTGTATTTTTAGTAGAGACGTGGTTTCACCATGTTTGCCTGTCTGATTTTGAACTCCTGACCTCAGGTGATCCACCCACCTCAGCCTCCCAAAGTGCTAGGATTACAGGCATGAGCCACTGCACCTGGAATTTAACTTCTTTTAATTGTTTGAATTGCTCATTTTTGAAGTTTTTATAATTTTTATTAATTTAATTTATTCCTAAGTATTTAACATGTTCTGATGTTATTGTAAATAGCACCCTTTAAAATATTTGTATTTATTTGTTAATTCTGTATTATGTTCATTTCTCTTTGAAATAACATAGAGATGAATTTTTTTTCAAGTTCTCTCTGTCATTACCTGACATGTTTAGCCCATGTATGTTACTGATATGTGTTAATTTATTTTCTCCAACAGTTTATGAATTTTCTACTTACTATGTTTTGCCTTTAGTTTTAGCTCTATATTTCCTGCCTTCCGTAGGGTTAATCAATTTTATTTATTCTCACGTTCCTCTTTACTGTTTTGAAAAGTGCACATTATGCCTCTAATTGTTTATAGGTTTCCCTTAATATTTCAATGTAACACCTCCTTTGTGGGAGTTGATATAAGAATTTAGTAGCAAACATGAGGCAATGTATTCTGAGTGCATGACCCATGACAGGTGCTCAAAACCAGTAATTATCATTATGAGGATTTTTAGGACTCTTAGAGATCGTTTTAAGACACAAAAATCATCTTTTCTTACCCCACTCTTTGTATATCTCCCTGTGTCACTCTCTACATACCTTTCTAGGACTAAACAGTGACATTAAACCTATCCTTAAAGAACTTTTATATCTGAGTCGTTTCATTGTAAGAAGAAAATTGAGTCACTAAAATCTCCAGGGATGGTTAGGCTACCAAAGACAATATAGTCAAGAGTAGTGGAGCCTCAGCTTGAGGCTTATGAGACTGGAAGCTGAAACATGTTTTTTCCACCTCATTTACATGTATCTTGTTAAAAGTTGACTATGATGACACTCTGATCATCTACTGGGAAGAACAAGCATGAGAGGTTTTGCCCATTTTTTTTTTTAATTGGCCTTGTTATAGCTATTAACAGAATCATGGCTTTTACTTTTTATCGAGAAGTTTCTCTTTGTCCTTCCCTCTTAATCACAATTTATAGATCTTCTGGATCTGTGGCAGAGTTATTATAGATCTTGGACTTCATAGTCTTTTAATCTACAAAAATTGTGACTCAAAAGTCACAATCTCAAAACGCTACTCATTCAAATATCAGTCCTGACACAATCTAGGAATCAAAAATTATATTTGTTTGTTATTTCTGTATTACGTTTTTATCTCTTTTAAATAATTAGAGCCTTAACTCTCAAAGGGCCTTGACTCATTTCAAAATCTTTATTATTTTTTAAATTTTAAGGATTATTTGACAATAGTATTTATAAAACAATGAAGAGTACTATTTTCCATATATAATGTCTGAGTCATTATTTGACTCTATGCTACCTGGTAGATATTATCTCCCATTCCAAGATATATATTATTCCCTTGCAAAAGCAGACAAGACAATTCAGGTGTAAACTCTACAGGAGAGACAGTAGGATTTTACTATTTCTCATTTCTAAAATGTGTTTGAAATGCTATGTAATCTGCTCTAATCTTATTTGAGGAATTGGAAGCAAAATCCAAAAATAATCATTTCCTACTTTTGTGTGCGTTCTTGAAAGATATGATGAGACTGGTGGTTAGACACAAAAATATGAGTGAAACTAATCTTGGATAATACTCTAACAATTGCATTAATTTTTGCTTCAAGTTGATATCAGTCAACTTAAAGTTGGGGCATATCAATCAAATTCAGGATCGATCAAGGTAGGGATAGGTGGCAATAGGGAAGTAAGAAAAATCTACATATACTTAGAAAACATTTTTATAAATGTTGAGATTTGCTGAAACTTTGCCTTGCAATGGTAAAGCAAATACTTTATTCTTGTGAAGGTCAGCAGTGAAATGTTTTAAGAATTAAAGACAGTGGGGCCATTTTTGTTAAATTTGACAAGCCCCAAAGCTAACTACTTTCTATGTCAACGTCTGATTGAAGGGAAATTAGCTTTAACTTGCACTAACCAAATTCTTTGGCCACTTTTCCTTGTTTGTTTGTTTTAAGTGATGTTTCATCTCTCCAGTGACATGTATAATTAGTTAAAAGGCTGAGAAAAACAGTTGCATCCCAGAGGAATCCATATCCATGAAATTGTTTTACTCCTTCCAAGTTGCTTATGCTTTCCAGTTGTTATAAGAAGTTATTCCACCAAATGAAATTGCTATTTTAATTGTTACCCCCTGCTTTCCATGTCCCCGGTACTGCCTTTCCCTTCTTGTTAATCCATTTAGATGCATGTTTATTCTTCTACCACGAGTCCTAAGAATAAGTTCTGGTCCTCTATTCTGTTTTCTTTCTCATCTTCTACTAAAGACATGCATCTGTTCTGTAATTAATGTTATCAGCTACTATGGAATTTCCTAATCTCTGGGGATCTCCAGAAAGTCTGTTGTTTAAAGCAAACTTTTTCACTCATTTTTACCCTTTCTTTTTCTTTGGGAATAGAAATGGTCTTCTTTTTCTTCACAGCACAAGAACAGGAAGAATGTGTGGTCTATGTGTCCAAGAATGTCTTCCCATCATGGTAGAGTGGTCCTGTCTCCAAGGTGCAGGACTCCCTGCCATTGGCTTTCTTTGCATCACTATTTGAAAATTATAATTAGAGGAACACACTGTGAGGTTCTTTGGGACTCTAACCCATTTTTATTTGTATTTTTTTGAGACAGAGTCTCACTCCGTCACCCAGGCTGGAGTGCAGAGGCACAGTCTCAGCTCACTGCAGCCTCCACCTCCTGGGTTCAAGAGATTCTCCTGTCTCAGCCTCCCAAGTATCTGGGATTACAGGTGCATGCCACCACACCTGGCTAATTGTTTGTATTTTTAGTAGAGATGGGGTTTCACCATGTCAGCCAGGCTGGTCTCGAATTCCTGACCTCAGGTGATTTGCCCACCTTGGCCTCCCAAAGTGCTGGGATTACAGGCGTGAGCCACCATGCCTTGCCCCCACTTTTCTTAAAAAAATTTTAAACTGCTGGTTTAGAGGAGGAATGGTGTTGGAGTAGAAGTAAGAACATGGATTTTGAGGTCAGAGTGACGTGAGATTAAATCCCTGCCCTAATGTTTACTTACTGTGCAATTTTGCACAATCTCTTAACCTCAGTTCCCTGTCTGTAATATGTGAATAATAATAATACTTGCTATAAAGGAGTGTTGTTAATTTTAAATGAGATAACTTATATAGTATTTAGGACAGAGCTGGCACATCATAAGCTCTTAGTGCCATGTTAAATATTAATAATGATATTAATAATGTTGGAGCATAGAAAGTCCTGTTCCCCACAGAGGCAACCTACTGATGGAATTCAGGAAAAATATAGCCAGAAAGATAATTTGCTTTGTGAACTGGTCGAATGAAAACAGGAGACGTGGTTATGCAAATTCCAGAAATAATAGCCAACATTTATTTCAGCTTGCCAGAGCATATTCTCTGCCCCACTGGTTTTCGGATTTTACTGTGAATAAAAATCCCTGGGTAGCTCGTTATGAATGCAGAGACCCAGGTTCTATCCTTAGAGATTTTAGTTTATTTGCCCTTGGGTTCATGATTCTGCTTTCTAGGGAGTACCCCAGGTGTCTTCATTAACTATATATTAAAAACTGCTGTACTGGGCTTTGATTCAGGCTGACCCTATTGCTTGATAAAGCTTACTTTTCTTATACAGTTTCCCACCACTCTCTGAGCCACAGTTCAGAGGTAACTGTGGCTTCTACTGCGTTATAAATTATCCATAGAGACAGGTTAGTCAGACTGCCTTGGCCTATAGAATACTCTAAAATACAATAGTGCTCAGTAGCTATAGCCCGAGTTCCTACAAGGCATTAGGTTCTTTCTAGTTTATAGCTCATTGGTGAAATGGAGTTTGACGTCATTGGAACAGATAATCTTTGTACTACTATCTTTGCAACTTTTCTATAAATCAAGTTATTCAAAATAAGATTATTAAAAAAAAATTAGCTCGTAAGTTCGTATTTTCTCAAGTGCCTTTTCAAGCACGGTATTACAAATAATAGTAATAATTATCAGTATAAATTAAGAGGAAGGCTGTACTTTCTCGGGCAAATTCTTACAATGAATGCAAATGAATTGGTGTTACTGCAGAGGAAACCTCACTTCCTAAGGTGCACTCTCTGCCCTTTCCATCCCTGAAGCTAAGGAGGAATAGGAGAAAGGAGAGCCAGGGCACAGCTGTAGGGAGCACATCCAGATAGCACTTAGTAAGGGGCTTAAGTGTCTGGGTAGGAGGTGCAGGGAGAGAATCAAGGGGAAGCATGGTCAAGGTCAGTGTTTGGAAAATCTGGCTGACCGTCGGAATCCTTTAGGACTTTTTCTGATTCAAAAGGTCTGGGAAGAGGCACAGAGATCTGCGGGTTCTTTTTTTTTTTTTTTTTTGTTTTTGTTTTTTTGAGATGGAGTGTTGCTCTGTCACCCAGGCTACAGTGTAGTGGTGTGATCTCTGTTCACTGCAACCTCCACCTCCCAGGTTCAAGCGATCCTCCTGCCTCAGCCTCCCAAGTAGCTAGGACTACAGGCGCACATCACCACTAATTTTTGTATTTTTAGTAGAGACGGGGTTTCACCATATTGGTCAGGCTGGTCTCGAACTCCTGGCCTCAGGCGATCCACCCGCCTTGGCCCCCCGAAGTGCTGGGATTACAGGCATGAGCCACCATGCTCGGCCCGAGATGTGCGTGTTTTAAAGGGTCAGTAGTGATTATGATGAGCAATCCAGTTTGGAAAACACAGATATCAGCAATGAAGCAGAAGTTAGGAGAAAATCACAAGAAATAAATCAGGTAATCGAACCCCAAGAGAACTGAGTTATAGGGCAACTGAGTAGTCAGAGAGCTCTTTCTAGTGGGGTACAGAGGGTAAGAGCTAGTGTCTAGTTACAGAAACTCAAACAGGAGAGCTGGGACTACATCAGAGGCAGAAACTATGACTGGAGATGGGAAGTGATTTTAGTGTTCTAGGTTAGTGCTGGTGACATAGGATATAGGAGTGTATCAGGTAGTTTGTGTACAAACACCCACTGGGTAAATAGTTGTGAAGGGATTTGGCTTCTTTTCAGAGACTTTTTGGTTTTCTGGATTTTTTTTGAAAGTTTTTCTGGATTATTTTATTTTATTATTATTATACTTTAAGTTTTAGGGTACATGTGCACAGTGTGCAGGTTAGTTAGATATGTATACACGTGCCATGCTGGTGTGCTGCACCCATTAACTCGTCATTTAGCATTAGGTATATCTCCTAAAGCTATCCCTCCCCCTTCCCCCGACCCCACAACAGTCCCTAGAGTGTGATGTTCCCCTGATTCTTCCGGGACTAACACTTGTGTCAAAGCCTTGGCTCTGAAAGCTCATGACTGCCAGGGGCTCTGGGTTGTAGAAAGAGAGTGTGGCAGGATATGGCTTGTGCAGTCATCAATACGTACAAAGGATATTGGGTACAATTAATTTTAATAAAATATTTAGGGCATATTTATGTATTAAATACATAAAAATATAATAGACACATACATACTTAACTAATAAGCTAAATGCTAAAATATCACAAATAAAATGGTTATCCTCTCTATACCCATGTCAGAATCCATCTTCCTCTTTGCAACCTAAAATAACCATTATTCTAAATTTAGCTTTTACCATTTTAAGGACCATCTCTCTATCATTTGTTGATACATCTCAACTTTCATGTAATTGTTGTCATGCTTTATGAATCCTTCTTTCTTATTTCAGCATGTGTTCTTGAGACATATGCATGTTGCTACATGTAGATCTAGCCCTTTAGTTTTGTTGTGTTAGATTAGAAACACTAGAATTTATGCATGTGTTATTAAACACTGTGCTACATTTAACATTCTCACACCTATCTCCTTGTACCCTTGTACTACTGTTTTGCCAGTATGGAGAGTGTCGAGCCAAAAGGTATGTTCATCTTCTGGATGTTGCCAAATTGGTCTGCAACTGGTGGTACCAATTTACACTCGTACCAACAGTGCATGAGATTTCTTAATGCTCCACATTTTGTCAACACTTGGTGGTGTTTGCCTAATTGATGTTGTTTGAAGGGTTATTACTGATTCTTTTGTACTAATCAAATATTTAATGGGTATTCTTTGATTGTTTTTTAAATGAATTTGTATATATTTAATACATAATGTTTATATATATATATACTGAAATGATTACTACAGTCAAGCAAACTAACATATCCACAACATATCCATAACCTTCCATAGTTACCCATTTTTATGTGTATATGTGTGGTGAGAGCACCTAAAATCTATTAACAAATTTTCAGTATGCAATACAGTATTATTAACTATAGTTTTCATGCTGTACATTAGATCTCTAGACTTATTCATCCTACATACTCTAGACTTACTCATTCTATGTAACTGCAAATTTGTACCCTTAAATCTATATCCTCTCATTTTCCTCCCCTCCCCTACCCTAGTAATTGCTGTTCTAGTCTCTGTTTCCATGTATTCAACTTTTTCTTTAGACTCCACATATAAGTGAAATCATGCAGTATTTTTATCTGGGTCTAGCTTTTTTCCCTTAGCATGTCGTCTTCCAGATTCATTCATAAATGTCAGGATCTTCTTTTTTAATGCTGGATAATGTTCCTTTGTATACATATGTATGTGGACACTTTGGTTGTTTCCATATTTTGCCTAATATGAATAGTCCTCCAATGAACATGACAGCACAGATATATTTTTGAGGTTCTTATTGCATGTCTTTTGGGGATATGTCCAGCAGAGAGATTGCTGGGTCATATGGATAATTTGCATTTTTCTCAATTACTACCGAGTTTGTGGTCACTTAGGTTTCTTCTTCCAAGAATGTTTTATCAATACTTACATCTTTTTTTTCTTCTTTGAATTTTTGATTTTTTTAAATGTTGATTTCAAAGAGTCTATATATTTTGAACACTAATTCTTGCTATTTAATTGCATTGAAAATAAGTTCCATGAAACTGTGGTGCATCTTTTTGAAGGCCACCTTCTTGAACATAAGAAAGTCAAGTAAGGGAACAAAGAAATGTACATCAACTTTTTATAAAGTAGAAGGATGAGGAAATGGGAGATGCTGGCCAGTTGCTAAGGCCGGAGGGAAAAGAACAGGATCTAGAAGTTGATGGAGTTTGAGGTAGTGGCTCTGCACGGTGCCCACTGAGGCCAAGCCCTTGGAAGGACTTAGATGCTTTCTTTGGTCTCTTGCTTGTGAGCTTGAGCAGACCTATTACCACAGAACAAAATATGAATAAAGTAAAGAATACATAGCCTGGTTGTTATTTTATTTAGCAGATTCCTAGTAAACACATACTATATGCCAGGCTGTGTACCAAGTTGCTAGTATTATACACATGAAGATGACACAGAACTTGACCTTCAAGAGATTTCAGGATTGTTAAAAGACTCATCTCTAATGAAGTCACTGCAAGAAAATGTGGTAAGAGTTTTAATAGCACTAAGTACGGGACAATATTGGAGCCATTGATTTCTTCATTTGTAAAATACTTATAGAACATCTACTATGGGGTCTAGGGATATAGCAGTGAACAAGAGAAGCAAGACCTCCTGGAGCATATATTTTAAAGATGCGAGACGGTCATAGGCAATTAGTAAATAAACATACAAAATCACGGCCATAAATTAGTGATCATTAAATATGTTTATAAGTAACATAATTCAGACAGTGACAAATGTTGTGCTGAACAGTTTTATAAGGATAATGTCATGAAAAGTGTTGAGGAATGGATCTGCATCCAGCATGGTCGAAGGCCTCTCTAAGGTACAAACATTTGAGTGAGCTATATGTGATGAGAAAGAATCAGACGTACAAAATTCAGAAGAATATCACAGACCAAAAAAAAGCAAGTGCAAAGTGCAAGGCTCCAAGGCAGGCATAAGATTGGGGTTCACAGATAAGCACAAATCATAGAAAAAGAAGTAATGGGATCTGCTGGCAGGCAGTAGGGTTTCAGGTTAAAGGCAAGCTTTGCAGAGTAGATCACACTGCAAAATCTGGAAGGATGGAGAATAAGCTAAAGAACCTTCTAGCTAGAGGAAATAACATGTGCAAGGTCAAAGCTTTTGCATCTAAATCCATTACTGTGTCTAATTACAGAGTCAGAAATAAGGTCCTACAAGCCACTGCCTGCAATGTTTCATGATGTCTGGGCTCAGCCCAATTGCCTGTACACTTGTGCTCCTAATCTGGAGTCCCAACACTTCCATAGGCTCCATTGTTAGGCAAGGAATATCACATCATGCAACAATGAAATATGTTTTCCCCCAGGGAAGTAGCATAATGCAGACTCGGATTATCAATTGGAGTTAAGAGGGTGAGATAGAGATCATCTGAGACAAGTTTCAGCCAAATTCCCATCACCGCAGCTTGTACTTTGGCTTTGGTAGTTGCTGCCAGGTTGTTTAAATTTTTCTTTGCTGGAAATTTCATGTGAGTTTATAGATGATCCCATTGAGGGGGACAAACAGCTGAATACAAATGGACTTGATTCCACCCTCTTGGAAAGCTAAGGGGGAGGTGAGTAATGAGCCTTTAAATTATACCTCCTGGCCAATGATCCAGGTCTAAGTAAAACTGCAATCCAGCCCCGGCCAACCTGGATTGCCACAGTGCCCATTTCAGTGGCTCTCAATCCTCACTCACTCCAGAGAGTGGTTTGAAACACGTGTAAGTTTTAGCAGTCTTTGTGATACTTAGAGACCCCCTATGTTTTTGAAAGAGTAGGGGAATGTTCACTTGACCAAGTGAGTGCTTCTGATGATAGGGAGCATAAGATATCTCACCCTTGCCTGGGGCTAGCCCTGGTAAGTCTTATCAAATTTATCTGTATGACTCTCAATTTGGCTTAGATGGCTCCAATCATTTGAATTGTTTCTGGTGATGAAAATAGTCACCAGGAGACTAGGAAACTCCACCGTCAGTAACATATACACTGTCATCCTTGATTTCCACTACTTTTGCTTTCTCTTATCTGATTTCTTAAAACTCAGCAGTATTATAAGGGTGTTTTTGTTGTTATTTGTAACATGATGATGCATTCTCATTACTTATTTCTCATCCCAGGATCTGAAAAACTTTCTGAAGAAGGTACACAGAGCTGCATTTTGCACTTGGCAACCATTTTCTAATCACAAAGCCCACAGAAAGAAACTTCAGGTGAGGAAAGTACTGTGTTTCTCCAGAAAAAAGACATTCTAGATGTTATTTCATCAAGGCATTTGGGTAACATTATCAACCTGAGGAAAGGAACTTGTGTGGCATATTAACTTCACCAGCTGAATAGAAAGGAAGCCATGGGTATATTTTTGTCCTTCAAACACACACACACACACACACACACGCATGCACGCACGCACACACACACACACAGTCCTGTATCTTTTTTTAAAAAAACTTTCTCTCCCCACTCTCACACACCTCTATCTTAATAGGTGTTTGAGCTTCCTCAGAGCTTGGTGGGCATCACTATAGGACCTGCAAGCTAGTGCCCTGTGGCAAACTTGCTATTTGAACCTCTTTTCTAGAATACTGAGATATAGATGATGACCATTTGGTCTCTTAGTTTAGGGTTCCTATGGTTTTTTAATGTATTTTATGGGAAATGATTTCCATTGGAATACTAATAGGGTAGCAGCATGAAACATGTAATGGAATCTAGGAATTTAGCAACTTACTCTCAGGACTGCTCCCTCTTCATCTTGTGTGCCTAAAAGTCCCTCCTGTCATAGACATTCACTATACTTTCAATTTAATTCAACAAGCATTTAGAAAATGTATAACAGTTCTATGTGGTAGCAGCTCCTGGAACACACCGTATGGCTTCTGTAACCACCAAGAAGCAGTTGCATGAAAGAAGTTGTAATCAGTCCCAAACACTAAAACAAGAATAATAATAAGTTGTAAAATCTACAGACAAAATAACCAAAATAATCCATGTAGCAGATGACAGGAAGGGGAAAGATCAATCTTTGTCAGAATTTTCAGAACTGTCAGATGATCAACAAGTAAGAGATAGCATTGGAAGATAGATGATATTTGGAAAGATATGAAAATCCAGTCTTTAGACTGAGATCACATCCTTAATCTGGAAAACACACGAACGTAAAATGATTTGCCACAGTGGATGAATCCTCCCAGTTAGTTACCATTAGATTGGATGACCTGGTCACTTTAGTAAGCTACTTAGGTCTGAAGATAAGTTTCCCAATAAGGCTTAGGCTAAACTTTCTGAGTAGTATATACCAAATGTAGATAGTATTATATATGAATCTCAGTACTTCCATTTATTATTTGTATGACTTTGAATAAGTATTGAAACTCCATGAGTTTTCACTTTTGCCTGTTACGGATGCACTGTAGTTTGCATGATCATTTCAGAATTAAAACAAGTAATTCACCTCACCCATAGCAGGTGCTCGGTAAATGCCCACCTGTATCCTTAGGCAGGAAAGCTGGCCACAATGGCCTCAGTCTTTTTCAAGCTCAGTACTCCTTAGGGAAGTAAAGTCAGCTGGAACTCAGACACAGAAATGTTGCCTACCTTCACATTGCTTTTCTACAAGCTAATGTCATTGAAACTCTCTTGGATACCTCAGTTTCTTGGGTATCTAAATCTTTAATCCAAACAGCAGTCATTGAATCTTTTCCTCTGATCTTTGCAATAGTATCAGCTGAATTCTGAACTCATCTTTCCTTGTTTTTTATATATATATATATATATATATTTTGAGACAGAGTCTTGCTCTGTCATCCAGACTGGAGTGCAGTGGTGTAATCTTGGCTCACCACAACCCCCGCTTCCCAGGTTCAAGCAATTCTCATGCCTTAGCCTCTGGAGTAGCTGGGATTAAAGGTGTGTGCCACCACACCTGGCTAATTTTTTATTGTTAGTAGAGACAGGGTTTTGCCATGTTGGCCAGGCTGGTCTTGAACTCCTGGCCTCAAGTGATCTGCCCACTTCGGCCTCCTAATGCTCTGGGATTACAGGCATGAGCCACTGCACCGGCCTGTTTTATGTAGTTTCTAACACAATTCCTTGCCTCAACATATATTTGATTTTATAAGTTTAACATTGTATGATTCTATATCTAACTCCAGTGCCCACACTTATTCTGAAGTAGGCCTGTCCTAACTTTCAATACCATATACTATGTACAGCTGTCCCTTAAGCATTAGAACAGAGTACTTTACTTTTGCTCTGCATCAGAATTCCATGGGGTGTTTGTTCAGTGCCTTTCTTCTCTAGTCCCCTTCTTCCTTTCATGTTCTAATTTGATTAATCTGGGTAGATTCTAGAATAATTTGTTTATTAGCAAGGAGTACTCTAGTAATTCTGATATAACCTGTTCATTGTCTAGTATTTGGAAAGTGTCATTCCAAATACTAGACAGCAAAGATGTCAAGCAAGGAATGAACATGGTCTGTTTAGCATGGAAGTTATTGAGAGTGGCCTGTAAGATTTTTATTGGGAGTTTCATATGAGTTATGTGAATAACTTGGGTTCATATTATGAAGAAATTTGTTGGAGAGAATAAAGTGGTTAAATAGACTTTGAAATCATTACCCATCCACCCAGACCTAGTTCTACCTGGCCTGCACCTTTAAAATAATTCTTTTAAAATTTAACAATATTAGCGGGGTGTGGTGGCTCATTCCTGTAATTCCAGCACTTTGGGAGGCCGAGATGGGAGGATTGCTTGATCCCAGGAGCTCAGGACCAGCCTGGACAACATGGCAAAACCCCATCTCTATTTTTTTAAAAATATAAGAGAAAAGAGAAAACAATTAACAATATCCAGAAATTATGACAAAAGGTTAGAGAAGTCAAAGCTATATCTCCATGATTCCCAGTAATATTATCAACAAAAATATAGATATTTGTCTCTTCCATTGTCAAGTCAGTCCCATTCTATACATATTTTAGAACTACACAGGTATTTGCACTTTTGTGCCTCTTGATAACTTAAAAAAATTAGACCATAGTTAAAAAAAATAGTAACCGTAGTTAATATTTTTAAATTTAACGCCATCCTCAAGGTACAGAAAGGAGCCTATAGAATTTCCCATTCTTTTTAAAAATGGTAACAAAAATTTTCATGATAAAACATTTATTATGGGAGTTAGAAAAGCACCATAGACTATCATTCATCCATCTGCCTCCTTCCTCCCAATACACATACTTTAGATATGAGAAATCTGATGCTCAAAGAATGGATTAACTTGACCAAAAGAATATTTAGGGAAGACTGGCATAACTCTAGACATATGAACCAGTGAAATAGAATTGATAATCCAGATATAAACCCATACATCTATGGTCAATTGATTTTGGACAAGAGTTCCAAGATCATTCAGTAGGGAAAGAATAGTCTTCAACAAATGGTTCAAGACAACTTGCAAAAGAATGAATTTGGACCTTACCTCACACCATTTACAAAAATTAAGACAAAATGAATCATAGACCTAAGAGTGAAAACTATATATCTCTTAGAAGAAAACATAGGCAAAAATCTTCATGACATTATATTTCACAATTTGTTTTTAAAATATGATAGCAGAAGCACAAGTGACAAAAGAAAACAGATAACTTGGACTTTATCAAAATTAAAAACTTTTGTTTATCAAAGGAAACTATCAAGAAAGTAAAAAGACAACTCACAAAATGGAAGAAAATATTTGCAAATCATACGTCTGATAACGGTCTAGTATCCAGAATATACATTCAACAACAAAAAGACAAACAACCCAATTAAAAATTACGAAAGTCTTGAGTAGACTTTTTCCAAAGAAGATGCACACATGGTCAACAAGTATATGAAAAGATGTTCACCATCACTGGTCATTAGAGAAATGCAAATTAAAACAACAATGAGATACCACTGAATGCACATTAAGATGACCATAATAAAAAATATGGAAAGTAACCAGCGTTGGTGAGGCTACAGAGAAACTGGAAACTTAATACATTGCTGGTGCAAATGAAAATGGTGTATCCACTTTGGAAAGAAGTTTGGCAGTTCCTCAAACAGTTAAACATAAAATTACCACATGACACAGCAATTCCACTCCTAGAAATATACCCAAGGAATGGAAAACATATGTTCAAACAAAACTTGTACAGAAATATTCATAACAGTACTATTTGCAATAGCCAAGCAGTGAAAACAACTGAAATGTCTATCAACTGATGAATGGATAAATAAAAAGTGGTGTGTCTATACAACAGAATATTATTCAGTCACATAAAGGAATGAAGTACTGATATAGGCTACAACATGGGTGAACCTCAAAACCATTATGCTAAGTGAAAGAAGCCAATCACAGAAGGCCACAGAGAAGATAATTCTATTTTTATGGAATGGCCAAAATAGGCAAATCCACAGAGACAGAAAGCAGATTAGTGATTGCCAGGGGCTAGCTGAAAGAGGCAATGGGGAGTGATTGCTTAACGGGTACTGGGTTTCTCCTTAGAGTAATGATGTTCTAGAATTAGATAGTGGCGGATAATTGCAAAGCATTGTGAGCGCAGTAAAAGCTACTGAATTGTACACAGTACTTTACAATGATTAAAGTGGAGAACTTTATAATATGTGAATTTTACTTTGATGAAACAAAAAAAAAACATGCAGGGTCTCATGTTTACTGCTTCTATATCAGTGTACTTTTCCCCAATCCATGTTCAGTGATATTCTGAAACTGGACAGCCCTTAGATATATACCTCATGACTATCCATATGGCAAAAGTAATTTGCTTATTTCTTAGGTAGCTGGATGAAAGTAACATTAGTCTTTCAGTGCTAAGCACAGTGCTGTATACAAGCAATGGAACTGCTAGTTTTATATTTTTTCTAGTTATGTTGAGAAAGTCCCAAAGTGGACACAATGGACTGTGTCATCACATCACAGAAAGTTCCTAATTAGAAGGCCACCCGGGGGGACCAGCACCTGTCAAAAGCAAGAAAATTGCCAAAGGGGGAAAATAAGAGACCCAGCACCCTGGGGGATAATCAATTAAACAGCTTCAGGCTCAGGGCCATCTGCTAAAGATCAGCTGAAAAAAGTGGCTATCAAAATTTGAAACTTAGTCTCCATGGCTCTGAGGGCTACAAGGCCCAGCCCTGGCACTTTAGCTGCAATTGGAATCTTCAGCTTTAATTGCCAGATCGTCAATTTCCATTGACTATCTGCTCTTGCTTGGATCCCCTGCATTGTGAAAGGGAGACATGGGGATAGACAAATCATTGCCTGGACGGAGGCTGATTGGTGGAGCCCTGTTGTGATATCTGACAGCCGATCTTTTATAAAGCCTTCTGGGAATGAAGAGGAGGACTGGAATTTTGTGGAACACTCAGAAATGCTCGTCCTTGAAATAATGTCATTGGGAGCATTCCCTGAGGGTCCCATTACCTGGGATGGGGAGCATGACTCTGCAATTGCTTGTTTGAGACTTAGATCCAATGTGATGTTCAGGAGTTCAACTCTCCTATCTAAGTGACACTGCCCTTCCTCATCCAGCCCCTCAGCACAGGCATTTGACTAGTAAACCTTGCTTTCTGCTTGATTTTTTTTTTTTTTGAGACGGAATTTCACTCTTGTCACCCAGGCTGGAGTGCAATGGCGCGATCTCAGTTCATTTCAACCTCCACCTCCTGGGTTCAAGCAATTCTCCTGCCCCAGCCTCCCGAGTAGCTGGGAATACAGGTGCTCGCCACAACACCCAGCTAATTTTTTGTATTTTTAGTAGAGATGGAGTTTCACCATGTTGGCCAGGCTGGTCTTAAACTCCTGACCTCAGGTGATCCACCCACCCCAGCCCCGCAAAGTGCTGGGATTACAGGCGTGAGCCATCCTGCCTGGCCGGTTTCTGCTTGATCTTACAGCCCAGAAGGCACACAATAAGAAAGCACCAGATTGCCTTCCTGGAGACATGGCACCTCAGTTTCACTGTGTTAGGAACCCAACACGTGTACATGAGGCACTCAAGACTATGCAGCAGTCTTCTTACATGTGTCAACCAACTAAAAGTTTTACCAACTCTATGAGGCACACATTGGTACAATTATCACCAAGTTAAAATGCATAAACTTGGGCCCAGATGAATGAATGCTTTTCTCAAGGTCACATAAAAAATTAACTGTTGGTGTCAGCATTCTCTTCTCATTCTTTCTCATGCAAAGACCACATTTGTTCCACCTCACACTGGGAAAAGTGAAGAGATGAGTTGGATGACTAGACATTTGTTCTGTCAGAAAAGTAAGCATTATTGGGCTTTGAACATAATACACTCTGTCCTTTCATTTCTGTCACAAAGGATTGTCCCTAAGCCTCAAAGGACACAAGTAAACTCTCTGAAACCTGAAGTAGTTGGTCTCAATCTATTCTTTGGCATCAAGCAAGTGCAAGGGTCAAAGATAAAAACTGTATTGCTTGCTTCTTGGATGCCACAGTCCGAAATACCTCTAACCAAATGTAAGTCACACCCAGGACATGACAAGAATCTTTAATAGTGGCCCAAGATTTAGCTATGGCTTTGGAGTTCTACAGTCATTCTTGCTCATACCAGTTAGAAGCTCATGCACTCTGAAATGGCTTTGTTTGGTTTTGGAGCAATAGTCAGCAAACTATGGCACAGGATGAAATCCAGTCCTCCACTTGCTTTTGTAAATAAAACATTATTAGAACATAGCTACACCCATCTATTTACATATCATCTGTAGCTGCTTTTGCTCTACAAGGCAGAGTTGACTATTTGCATCAGAGACTGTTTAGTCCACAAAGCGATACTGTCTGGCTCTTTATATGAAAATGTTTTCAAGCCCTGTTTTATGAATTAGGAAGAAAGGGCTTTCTAAGTCTTTCTCACTACAAAGTTTATTTCTCAGAATCAACCAGAATGAACTGTCCAGGGCTGAGGTAGCTGTGCTGACTCCAAGAGGTGGTGCAGTTGTACAGAACATGGACTCTGAACATTAGACAAACCTGAGTTCAAATTTTAACAACTATCTGGCTGTGCACTCAGAAAAGTCACTTAACTACTCTGAGTTTCCTCGTCTGTGAAGTGCCCATTAGAATTCTGACCTTGCAGGACCTCTGAAGATTAAATTGCATGGGATATTTGTAGCACCTTGCCCAGTGTCAGGCACATAGTAGTATTCACTCCGTGATATTTTATATATAATTCTCAAAGGACTGCATGCCCACATAATGAAGACCTCAGTTAAACTGACATTTTGTGGGTATGCACGCTGGAGCTCACTATCCCTGGGCTGTTCCAGCATGACAGATTCCTCTTTACATCCCAGTGATAAGTGACCCACAGGAGGCTGTGTCTTCATGCTCTAAGAATAGAATGGAAAACCACGCTCATTTCAAAAAAGGAGCAGAACCCCCTCTTATTTCCCTTTCCTGGTTTCTCTTCCTCATGCCAGAACTTGTTATCCTGCAGGCATTTCAACCTGCTCACTCTGAGAAATAAAAAATGCACCAGGCAATTGCTAATTGCTGATAGCTCTCTCCCTATTGATCTCTCCATTTGGCTCAAACATCTCAGATTACTGAGTGATCACAGTTGAGATAGGTCAGGACAAAGAGGCCCTGCTTAAATATTTCTATGGAAGAATGACAGAGTGTCTGCAGGAAAAAAAGGTAGAAATGCATTTCAAGAGGCAAGGACCTTCAAGTTAAGAGTTTTGTAACATATTTAAAGCATGGGGCAGGGGTGGTGGGGAGGTGATCCATCAGCAAAATGGAAAGGGAAGGACTTGGAAGAACCTGCAAAGGGAAGGAAGCCCTTGGAGGTGGAGGCCTTAGAATAAGATCAGAAGTTTGATATGAGGTAAAATTACTTCTTTTCTTGGATATGACCTTTTTGTCAAATGGTATTCTGCTAATGTATTTGTCAGGGTTTTAGTTTAAGCAGAAAGAAATTTATTAAGGGCAATTAGTTACAGAATGTCTTGGAGGTTCATGCAGCTAAAGCTTGGGTCCTGCCCAGCTGTAAGCAATGCAGCCAGGAGAAATGGCCGACCACTTGGTACAGATGTTGCAATTGAAATCCTGAGGCTGTCACTGCAGTCCCTTGGTATCCATTAGACTGCAGACCATAGAACAGAAATTCAGTTTCAATATCTACAGGAAAACAGAACAAAACAACAAAAACAACCGATTCCACCACATTTATCTTTGCCTTCAAAATCTCGAGTGACAGAGTTGGCTTGGTAACAGTCAGATTACCTGTGGAACTCTGACTACTAAGGAGTCTGGGAAATTTAGACTTTAACTCTCCAGCATTAAGTGAGCTGGGACACACACTACAAGGGTGTTGGGATAGGGTTGGGTGAATCAATCTATAATGTCTGCATCTTAAGGATTATGTAAACAAATTACATGGGATTATTAAAAGAATCTCTTTATGTTAAGAGTACCCTCAATCCCTGGACATTCTTAGAAATTTGAATTGAGAAGACTCTGCTTTCCTTTGTTACTAAGATTGGTTAGTAACCTATTGAATGAGCCACTATTCTATAATAGCAATGAACTAGACACTTTACCTGGCATAATTTATTTAGTTGTTTTTTAACAACTATGTTTGATAAATATTATTTATTTCAACTTTCCTCTTGGAAACTGGGAGGAAGACAAACTTAGTAACTTGTCCTGTTAATACTACATACATGCTGGGTAGTACGTCTGGATATCCAGGACCGGCAACTAGATCTGCTAGGTTGAGGAGCCCAGAGTCCCATATATTTAGAGAGCCTGAAGAAACCATAGTCAGGAGACAAAATCTTCAGTTGTTCGTGGTGGAGTTTTTGTTGTTGTCGTTTGTCCGTTTTTGATTATTATTGTTGGAAGTGAACCTCCTGAATGAGGAGACTTTGACTTAAAGATTTGGGGAAGAAGCTGGTTTGCTTGGGCAGTCTTCATTTGGCATTCTGAGGAAAATTAAAATAATAAATGTATTTGCCTGAGGTGAGTATTCTTTTTGGGAATATCCTTCGTTCAATACCAGGGCATTTGATTAGTGCTCAGTGTCTGGGTAGGAATCAGACTCCAGATTCAAAGTCCTATCTAGTAAGACAGTTCTCTCTGGTTCCTTTTGTTTGTATCTGAATGCAATTGTAATTTTATTTTATTTTATTTTACTTTATTTTATTTTATTATTATTATACTTTAAGTTTTAGGGTACATGTGCACAATGTGCAGGTTAGTTACATATGTATACATGTGCCATGCTGGTGTGCTGCAACTGTAATTTTCTAGGGCCACTTGTTGTGGGCAGAAATCTTCAGGCAGTTTTTTTCTCTAACATTAAATAAATCTATCCTTGATTTCTTGAAAAATGCATGAGCACACAGAAATTGCCCTTGCAAGGTGTGGGCGAATAGGGTGGGTGTTAAGAGATGAATCCAGACTAAGCAAGTGCCAAGAGGTAACATTCTCTTCTTTACATGGGAATAATTAATGCACGGCTATACCACATTTATTTCTTAACACTCCTTCTCACTCATTTTCAGAGTAGCTCATCTTATTTAAAAAATGGCATCTGATATTGTGACGGAATTATGTAAAATCTAGAATTCTTGCTCTAAGGATTCCCGCATCTCCAGAAAGTTGGAGAAATTGAATAAGTAATTTGAATTTCACTTCTATTTTTTTGTTGACTTTGGACAAAAAAAAGAAAACCCCCTTACATCTTCATTTGACTCCACAAGCCATTTTGAAATTGTTAGCTGAAAAGTTCTAGGGAATTGCATATAAAACTAATCATTACCTTGTAATGAAATGGTTCTGCAAGTTACTGCTTAATAATACTTGAAGTCATCAAAAAGTTCAAAGATTAATTACCATGTAACTGGCAGTGTTTAGATTGGAAAATTAAGGCTCCAGCGAAGAACTGAAAAATATCCATATAATTACCCAGGTATAAAATGCAGCTTAATACATTCTGGAACCCGGGCTTCTCAAAATAGCAAGTCCCTTTTGAGAGCGTCAAGTGGTTTTTCATTATTTTTCATTATTCTCATTTTTCATCTTACAGCAGCCAATATCATGCTTGTTTACTAATAAGTAATGGCCACTTTCCCTTTAGCAAAAAACACCTGCACCACCATGAAATAATTAGAACCAGATCATTTGATAGGATATTATTTTTTTTGTCGTAGATCCTGGCAATTAACCAACACATCATATTTATACATATTATTTTGGGACATATTTATGAGCTGTAGTTTGCAAAACCATGCCACAAAACTATAAAATGTTTGAAGCCATGTAAAGAGAATTATGAGTTGACTAATTTATATTAGGATAGTTTTGTATTTGTGTTTTTGTATTTGTGTTTTTTCTCCTTTCCATATCCTTGCAAATAGTACATCTTAGAAGACAAGTGAGAAAAAAGGCCCAGAATTTCCTTTAAAGAGATTCTAGGACAGAAGGAATCCAGAAATATGGAACCTAGGAATCCTTCTTCCATAAGTCTATTTGGTGTTCTACACTTTCCCTAATTTATTTCCAAGTACCTTTCTCACTTTGCATAACTGGTTTACAAATTTGGCTTAGAAAACTGGCCCTTATGTTTTCAGGAGATTTTTAAAAGTAAGACATAATTTAAAAATTAAATATGGCAAGCAGTGCTAAGTTCAAGCATGAGCCATATGCTAGCAAGCAACCACCACCTGGCAAGTTCATTGCAGAACAGTTTTGGGATGCTGTATATCCTGTTTGAAAATATTTGCTTTAATATTTCCTACCTGAAGAAAAGAAGGTCACTTACAAAGGTAGAAATAGAGAATAAAGAAATGGAGACTGGCCCAAAAAAGAGAACTAAGCTATCTGATTGAAGACAATGACTTGTTATCAGAAGCAGCAGTTGCTGAGTTAGGTTATAGAGAAGGTGACATTTTAAGGGGTGAGATGCATGAAATATCAACTAAAGATTAGTGTTAGGAAACTTTTTTTTAAAGCAAATTTCTCCAACAAAAGGTCGTTGAGTTTGAAATAGGTGTCTCTTCTTAGCACATCTTTGCCTTCAGACAAAAAAACTCGAACTTACATGTATAACACTTTTTTATGGCCCATCCTCAAAATGATCCTTACATTCACCATCTTACAGCTTCAAACGTTGCCTTTTCCTGTAGTAGCAACCATCATGGTTCCTTTAGTTCTTTTAAGTTTTTCTTCTGAATTCTATCAGGGAGTAAAACTCTTTCTTGGCAAATGTTGGGGAGAAGCAGAAAAGAGAATATGCATGTTTTTTCTTGGCTTATAACTGTTGATGATTACATCTATCTATCTATCTATCTATCTATCTATCTATCTATCTATCTATATTAAAGCCTTCTTAAAAGCCCCTCAGAAACTTACTCATCCCATTCTCTTCTGTGCCTGCTACTTACTGTGTTGCTTCATGATGAGAGACTTCTAGTTTATTAATATTTTACCTGCCCATGGACCCTGGTTCTCACTCATGTTACATCACACTTTATTTCCGTTTGTGGGATATTACCTACTTCAATGAAGTCTCATAAAGGAAGATACTACATTCCCAAGAACGTCTCTTGGCATATATCTGTCTGTATCTGTGTGTATCTCTATAACTTATCTATCTAGATCTGTTTAACCTTCAACATAGAGATAACTATATCTAGATTCTTTTTAACTTTAACATGGAGATCTCTCCATCATGGTACAGATTTAGATGCTACCAGTACATTTTACATGAAGATTTGGTGGAGTTATTATTAAACCAGTTGGAATGCCCTGGGAGAAAAGCAAGTACTAGTAAATAGAAAAGATCATTGCTGTGGTTATTACATGTGCCCTCTGGAGAGAGCTGCAGAGGAACCTGGAGCTCTCAGAGACTTAAAGGGAATGGGAGTCAGAATCTGGTCAGTTTATGCTAAAGATGAGAAATGATCAAGCCCTGACAACAACTTATGGATGCTATTATACTTGGGAAGAATTAAACTTTATATCCTTTGGAGACTAAACAGCTCCCTAGATGGTGGGAATAAATCTTGAAAACATTTTTGATGATAGTTAGGGATTTAAATTTGCCGAGTTCTTTTTGTGGCTATACAGGGAGACTAAGTTTATGAGTCTCACTGAATGATTCCATATACAGAAACAGTGGGCAGCATTTTATTTTTCAAGTTTGACTCATCAGCTCTCAACTTTGAATTATATTTTTTTAGACTTTATATTATTATTCCCATTTTCAAATGAGCCAGATGCTTTCTAATGAGGTTTTCATTTTTTTTTTCAGTTTTCAGTAATTGCATTGTAGTATTCTTGATGGCAGGGAATATGTCTACCTGATTCACCATTGTAACCCCAGTTCCTATCACAGAGCCTGGCACTTGCAAGGGACTCAAATATTTCTTACCTGATTCATTTCCAGTGGACAAATGTTCAAGTTCCACCATGCACCTGTTCCTCAAATCACAAAGTAGAACCATGTTGCAATGCTGGAGAGCCCAATGCGGTAATATAATTCTACCCTCTTTATTTTTAGTCTAGCATATACTTAATATGTAATGTAGTAAATATGTTAACACGTAAAAACACATCGAGATTCAGATTCTATATCTAAGGGGAAGCTGGGAATATGCATATCATTGTTTCTGACCTCACAGTCTAGTAATTGAGGGACACACAAACAAACATGAAATCTCAATATTGTGCTATAAATGCAATTCATGGAGCTACTGAACATAAAGGTGAGGTAAAGGTGAGCTATAAGTATTTGTGGTCAGACAGACCTGCATTTAAACTGAACCTCAGTCATCCACTAATTACTTTACGTTGCAATTGTCCCTTAACCTTTCTTTGCTCCAATTTCTTTATCTACAAAAGGAAGATAATAAGACACTCAGTATAGAACTGTCATAAGCTTTTCATGACGTAAGATAGGTAAGAAGCAAATCACTATGTGTGACCCATTATTTGGACTGCTATTAACCATTACTCCAAAAATCAGAGAAATTTTCCTAAGGAAGTGAGGGTTCTTTTGTATTTACCTTGTTGGAAACAGCATCCAAATGAGGGGCCATAGTATGGTGAAGAATTTAGATTTGTTTCATAAGGAGCATCATGTATAGCACTGACATGTTTTGGCTCTGTGTCTCCGCTGAAATCTTATCTTGAATTCTAATCCTCATGTGTCAAGGGAGGGAGGTGATTGGATCATGGGGGTTGTTTCTCCCGTGCTGTTCTTGTGATAGGAGTGAGTTCTCATGAGATCTGATGGTTTTACAAGCATCTGGCATTTCCCTTGCTCATGCTCTTCTCTCTCCTTCTGCCATGTGAAGAAAGTCCTTGCTTCCCCTTCACCTTCTGCCATGATTGTAAGTTTCCCTGAGGCCTCCCCAGCCATGTGGAAGTGTGAGTCAATTAAACCTCTTCCCTTTATAAATTACCCAGTCTTAGTTATTTCTTTATAGCAGTGTGAAAACAGACTAGTACAAACACTAATATGTATATCAATTAGTATTTATCCTGCCTCGTTTCAGAAACGGTAAGAGTCAACTCTGGCATCTCATGAGTGATCCATTTAAATTATATCAGGTTATTTGCATCTCTCCTTGAGTTGTACCTAATCTTATGGTGATTTGGAATCTCCTAAATGGTGTGGCAATATTGCTGTTGCTTCTTGGTAAGGACAAAATTCATCCTAAAAGTCTTGAAGGAAAGAGACTGGGAAAGATATAGTGCAGTGGTCCTCAACCAGGACTGACTGTGGTGTGTAAGAGACATTTGACAATGTCTGGGAACATTTTGGGTTGTCACAACTTGGGGCAGGGGTGGAGGATGCTTCTGGTATCTGTTGGGTAGAGATCAGAGATGCTGCTGAAGATCCTACAATTCACAGGTCAGCCCCTCGCAATAAAGAATTACTTGGCTCATTGTATCAGTAGTGGTGTAGCTAATTAACCTTGGCATAGGGAAAGACAATATGGACTAGTGCTTATAACAAGTCTGTTATCCAATGGTTTGGTGAGTAGATTTCAGGAAAAGAGACATGAAAAAAACCAACCCCTAAGAAAGCCAAGTACAGGCTAGAAGACAAAGGGATCATGGGAAGTGACAGAAATTCCAGCCCTTTAGTATTTAACATTAAGAGTAAATATGAAAGGAGTGGGAAGAAGCACCATAAATTTCATTGGAATTCATTTAAACATTCGTGAATCTGAGAAAGGGGGAAGGAGACTTCCATCTGTTAAGTGCATGTTCTCTGACAAGCTTTTGACATATCTCAGGTTAATTGTCATTAGAAAAGGCTTCAGGTGAGTAGTATTACTGACTGTTGAGAAATTTGGGTTCTTAAACATACAGCTGGTTAATGACAGAATCAGAACTCAATACAGAACTTTCTGAAGTGTTTCTAATTCACCATATTTTCTCCTTAGCTGGTTCTCTGTTTCAAGCCAATGGTGGAGGCAGAAACACAACAAAAAAACCCAAATCAAAAATAATAACAACAACAAATCTGGCCTCAGGAAAAATGCAAAATGGAAGGAAGCGAAGCCAAATATGAATGCTACGCATGTGTCTTGATTGCAATTTAATGTGATCCTAAACTAAGCAATGCCAGTTCTCTTGGCTCTGGCCCAAGACACACCTCAAAAACCTGGGTCATACTGTTTTTTCTTGCACAGAAATAGCTATATCACTATTCTTGGGGAAGGTATAATGAGGGATGGGAAAGGCTATATGAAGCAGTAGGTGGAGTGTGAGGCCCTGAGTTTTTATGTCTGCATAGAAGGAAAGCCACAGAGGATTTTAATGTCTAAATACCAAAGTTTCTTTGGAAGAATTATTTTCCAAACTCACTTTCCACAAAGAAAAGAAGCATCGGTGGCCAGAAACCATGGAATATAAACCAAGAGCTCAAAGCTAAGGTAGGAAAAGTTTAGATTAGCCAATAAGGGAGATGCTGTTTAGACAGAGCCATCGGGGAGTGAGCAGGGTCCCGTGGGAAAGGCTGAAGGACTCCCAGTGCCAAGTTTCTAGTGCATATTGGATAAAATAATTGCAAAGGACTCAAGTGGTCTTTTCTGGCCCCAGGAGATAATTGGTTAGCTGAGCAGAGCTGTCTCACCCATGGGCCAATGACAAATTATATCAATCCATTATTTTTTCAAGAAGGAGAAAAGAGGGTTTTTTCTTTTTTTTTTTCCTATTGCTCAAAATAAATTTTGTCTGTAAGGAGCATCAGACAAATAGACCCTAGAGGCCGAAGTTTTTTATTAACACACATATAGTGACTTAACTGAGCAAGAGTGGTGCAAAAGTCTCCTCTGTGAATTGTTCCAGCACGCCACAAGACTTTCTGCAAGAGCCTTGTTCCTCTGCCCACTCTGCCCGCTGCCCAACACTGCCACTTGGTGTGAGATGAGAGTTCCTCAGTACTGCCAACCACTCAGCATCTAGCCCTCTCTGCTGAGCCTTCCAACAAGGGAGCTAATAAAAATGTGTAGGGCTCTGTGCTGTAGACATGTGCACAATAGGAAGAGGGTTAGAAACATATCTCAGAGTGTACAAGATTACGAATTGTTTGGAATGATTTTTAGCTATTCTGAAGATGTGTGGACTTAACATAGCCCCTTGGGGTTGGTGGGACATGCTCGTTGATTTTCTCACTGTTCTCTGAAATGCTTATTTTCATGATGTTTCATGTGTAAAAAGTATTTTTTTCCAAAATAAAATGCTAATTTTGCCCCAAATATACAGGATAGGCATTGACAGTCTTTCTACAACCAACTACAACACACTCAACCATTTACTACCCAGTTGCAATCCCCAAAAGTCAACTCGTACTATGAATAAGTCCTAATCAGTTTGTGACAGACCCAATAGAAGCAGGGAAAACCAAAACAGTCTACAACACTACAGTTAGAGCTCTGTAACAGCACAAACTCCAGAAAATACTAATGGGGTCTATGCTGATTTCAGGGGCTCTTTCCCCAGAGACTTTTTCCTGCCAAGAATTGATCAGTGCTCAAGGCCCAGCATATTCATACTTTGGCCTCACTGTTTGGAGGCTTGCTGGGGATTGGAGACTGGAAGGAAGGAAGGGTGGGAGGCCTCCAGAACACAAAGACATATTCCAGAAACTTGGAGCCAGCTCTTCCTCCAGGGACAATACATTGTCATGCATTTGGGATTCTATGATTCAGATGATGAGGACATAGACATACTATAGATCAATGGGGTCAAGATGGAAACTGGAATGATCTCCACCACTTCAGACTGACTCTGCCAGATCAATCTTAAGCAGATTGAGAGGGTGCAAAACTCTGATTAAGCAGAGGAAATATGACCTGGGAGAGAAAAATTAGGGAGAAATTACTTAAAAAGTGGCTGAGCAGAACTGAAACTCCCAAAAGAAGTATCAAACAGTTAATGCCATATGAAATATGTGTTCTGGGCCTGGAAATCTCAGGAGATGGACCTCATATTAGTTTCACATTCCATGATGATGTGGTAGTTCAAGACAAGGACTTCGGAGGAACTGGCTGTGTCCAAATTCTGGTTCTAACACTGACTAGTTATGTGAACTTAAGCAAGCTTCTTAACCTCTCTATGCCTTCCCTTCCTAATCTGTAAAATGGGAGAAATAATACTATCTCAGAGGGTTGTTATGAAGGTAAATTGAATTAATTTATGTATAAAAGCACTCATAAGAGTGCTGCTACTTATAAAGTAATATAAAAGTTCTCATTATTATTTTATATTAATTATATACATAATGCATATAATATATAATGATGCTTACTTGTACACTATATAAATATTATAATTAATAACTATTTTATCTTTTACATCTATTATATTCTATTGTACTGTGTTATATACAATACGTGATATACCACGTATCATACGGTACATATATATTATTCTTTATTGGTGACTACATCTGCATTGCAGAACTGAATCTAATTTATATTTTATATCTACCTTTTTTTCCTTAAAACTTGTAACTGCTTTCTAGATTTCCTGAGGAACATTCCAAATAATCTGGCTCAAAACTAGCTCTAACATATACTAATTGTGGAACTGTGACAAACCTCCCTAAGTCCAAGTTAGTTGATCTTGAACATAGGGGTGGGTAAAGATCTAAATAAGATAGAACAGAGCTGCTCAGCCAATGTGCCATGCATTCGTTACAAGCAAGCCAAATAGTGAGCACTTTAGCCTTGCAAATAGACAGCCAGGGTCTGGGTTAATTGGGGCTCTTACCTGGTCATCTCTGACCATAACTGTCCATTTACTGTGACCTACAAATATTATTTTTGTGGGTTCATAATAACCTGTTGGAGAGAACTGTAAGAGACATCACGTTGGAAGCATTGAGCACCAAATGTGGAACATAGTAGGAGCACCAAAAATATTTGCTTTTGTGGTTGCTGATGACAACAGTGGTAGCGCAAGGAAGACGAGACAGAAAAGAACTTTTTTTTTTTGCTGTCATTGTTCTGTTTCTTAGCAAAAGTGGAATTGGAACCTGTTTTAATATTACTACTTTAAGTAGAGAGGCCATGCAGCCTATAGGTATGGTCTGTGTACCTTGGAAGTCCTGGGTGTTGTGGAAAGTGTGTTGACCTTGGAGCCATGAAAAGTAGGGTGACCAGCTGGCCCAGTTTCCTAAGAATGAGGTGGTTTCTAGGTAATGGGAGTTTTTGTACTTGGAAGTGAATCCTCACTCTGAATATATGACTTGGCCTCTCTGAATTATATTTTCCTATTGTCAAATAGGGAAAACAAATCCTGACTTGTAGCACTTTTGTTATCAAATAAAAAATTGTACCTACAGTATGTGAGAGATAATTGAAGTAAAACAAGTGTTATAGCTGCTATGTTCCACCCATTCCACCCTCCAGTTAGAGGCATCAGAGTGTGAATATAAGCTTCACACTTGGTAGTTGCATAAACATGGGCAAGCTGTGGAACATTTCAGAGCTTCTATTTTATCATCTGTAAAGTAAGACTCATAATACCAACCTTGATGAGTTAGAGGAGGATTAAATTAAAAGAGAAAATTACTCCATAGGAGCAATTATTAGATGTGATTTCCCTCCTGTTTCTCCCTTTATTTTTTCTTCTAATAAATTTTCAATCCATAAATCTTATACAGAATGACCTTTCTGAGAAATAAAGCTTTTAAACTGTGGTTGACCCCTGGTATTCTCCATGCGTCTCAGTTGAGAGAATTTTAGAAGTGGTGCTTCTCCATGCTACCCGTGCCTTTCCTGTAGAGAAGATGGTGTTCTCTATGTTGCATTTGCACAAACTTCAGAAAACAGCTTTCAGAAACACCTGAGGAGCTGACCAAGATTTCACTAGCATGTCATTGAGTTGACATAGCAAATAAGTTCTTGTATCCACATCTCATTAGTTTTCCCTCATCTTTCATAATGTCCCATAGAAACTGAATGAGAGATATAAAAATGGCTATAAACCTCTTCCACATCTGCTAAGATGAAAAACTGATTTTTACTCAGTTTTATAAATTTTCTCTCCTCTTTATCTTTCCTTCCTCCCCTTTCCTTCCTTCCTCCCCTTTCCTTCCTTCCTTCTTTCCTTCCTTCCCTTTCTTTCCTCCTTCCTTTTCTTTCCTTCCTTCCCTTTCTTTCCTCCTTCCTTTTCTTTCCTTCCTTTTTCCTTCCTCCTTCCTTCCTTCTTCCCTTTTCTTTCTTTCCTCCCTCCCTTCTTTCCTTCCTTCTCTCCTTTCCATTATTTCTTTAGTTCCTTCCATTCTCATCTGGATCATGGTTTCTTTAACTGCTTGCAATTCTTCTTGACTTCAATTTTAGTTGTCTCTCTGCTTTCCTTATCATTGGCAATTATGGATGGATTTTCTCTTTTTTTCTGAATAATTTATTCAATTACATACTCAATAACTATTTGTTAGCACTCCTGATAGATAATGTGTGAGATACTGATGAATGGAAAAAGGCATAACCCTATGGTTTCTTTCGTAAAGTACTATTCTTTAGCAAAACAATTTTTATGAATATCTAAAAAAAGGAGAGGCTTGCTATGTACATTGTTTCATTCAATTTCCAACAATGTAAGGATTAGAAAAATATAACAGACTTGCCTAAAGTCACCGGCTAGACAGTGACAGATTCATAATTCAATCCAAGATCTGTTTCACTGAGGCACAGTGATTCATTCTAATTTGAATGTGCAGTGAAATAATTTCTGTAGCTCTTCTCGTTTTTCTACTTTTATAACTGGTTACTTAAAAGCTTTTACTACCAAAGTCTTCCCCAGACAAATATGAGGTTAGGAAAGTCTTACTTTGATGACTCCTTCTACCCTCAAAAGCCCCTGTCCTTAAAAGTTAACATCTCAAAAAGCCATTTCCACTCCTCTCACATATATATATGCTGAGCTATTCCATAACCAGGATTCTTTTTATCCTATCAAACTGTGTCTGGTATTTGTCCCATTCCTTTATATCTGTGTCCTTTGAAACACACGATTTGCTATACTAGCCCTGTATCCTAACTTGTGAGCAGCCATTAGTGTTAGTACTACTTCATTGGCTGGAACATTCTGGTGGCATTGCCTTAATTCAGGAAGGTAGTGGTTGAGAAATGCAGGCAGTCCTTGGAATTAAGGGAAGAATGTGTCAAGTTGGGGAACTTCCAATCATATTGGGTCATTTTCTAGAGATATGTAGCTCTATTTGACTTAAATGAACAACATTTAAGAACCCATTCATCTATATTATTTTGGTAGATCACACGTTTTCAATGTAAGGTTGAAATTCAGGCCATCCAGGAAAGATTGAAAAATTTCTGAGGAGATAAGCAGCTCTGGACCTGGCTTTGGGCTTTCTTGATGTGAGTTTTATATGTCGTTTGGCCAATAAAAGCTCTGCTGGATCATTAGCTTTTTAATAGGATAAATAATTACCTCTAACACAAAATATTTGGAATGGAAACATTTGGTTCCAGATTTTTAAAAAAATCTCATTAAAACATCACATTAATTCAGCCCTGGGTTCACTACAACTTAAAGTGAGAGATTTGGCAGCCTTGGTCAGTATGCCTCAAATAAGTTCAAACTTGGGAAGGTTTTGTAAAAACAAACAGCAACAATAAAAACCACATCAGTCTTCCTTTCCTCGGGACTAAGTAGATTCTTAGTTCTGCTGCAATGTGAGAGAGAGGGAAAGACAAGAACACAGTCCCTGGAATATAACCTTCTTGGGGGTTTGGCTCAAAGCTATTCCTTTTGAGTGAGTAGAGGTTTTCTGATCTGTCATTTAGCTACAACGTGACCAAATATTTTCTTGCCTGTCTGCAACACCCAGTCTATAGGGAGAATGACCCTTTCACCTTCTAGGTCCAAAGACATGAAATTGCCCATCACTCTCTCTTCCTCTGCTCCTTGGCATGCAGTTTTCTTCTTGCCATTTTTCTCTAAACCCTATTAATCAGCACCTCTGAAAGGCCCCATTACTGAGAATATTTAAAGTATGACAGGATAATACACTAGGAAATATACTGTGGGGAATATTATAGTCCTGGCAGGACTAAATGACCTAAAGTTGTCTCAGTCTCCAGTGTTTCTTTGATTAATTAACCCCATTTCTCAGAATTCTTGAGTTCAGAGTTCTCTCTGTACTGAAGCTTGTGTGTGGCCAGTGCAGAGGAAAATTTTTTTTCCATCTCTGGTGTGCTTTCTTTGCCTTAGGTTTGTCCTTACTCTTAAATTTCAGCTTTTGTCTCTAAAACATCCATAAGCTCAACAAGGATGACTGCATTTCTGGTATTGACTAGACACAGTTCGTGGTACTGGTGAGAACAAAATGGAGCAAGATTCAGGCCACACCTCAAGCAGCTCTAAGCTCTGGAGGGGAAATTGTTCACTAGGAGGCCTTATGGACACACAGAGGAGGAAGTGCTTCACTTTGCCAACAGTCCCAGAGGAAGCAACACATGAGCAAAGTCTCAAGAGATTGGTTATTGTTTGCGAAGCAGATGGATCAAGGAAGGTTATTAGAGAAAGAGAGAAGATGATGTACAAATATGTGGATCATTCTTGCCCCATTTATTGGAGCTAAAGGTATTCAGTGTATCTAGAGTGTGAGAGTCAAGTGAAGTGGTAGAAAAGAATGAACATCAAGACCAGCTAAATAAAGAAATGTCATTTACAATAGGCCAAGGAACTCAGTCTTCTTCCTATTGGTAGTGGTGAACCATCAGAAATGTTTTAGCAGAGCTGAGTTTTTGAAATATCACTCTGGTAAAATAAAAGGATAGAACTCGGAGGAGGATGAAAGATGGGAGAACAGTCAGAAGGCTACTGGAAAAGTTCAGATATGAGATAACTGGAGTAGTAAGATCTGGGTCTATGGATGTGACCGTGGTTCTTTTTGGAGATACAGCTCTCTTCCCTGGCCTTATAACTTGCTCTTTTAATTAAAAGTAAAAACAATTCTCTAAGATGGACAAATATATTCCCAATGTTCCAACAGGCTTTCTTTTCTCTTCCTGGCCCTGTGTAAAGAGCTCTCCCAACTCCCCTCTGTTTTATTTCATTGCAGTTGAATATTTAAGACTGTGATACTTCTATCAATCAGCAATCATGGAATAATCTTAGTTTCCTAGGATTTTAGAGGGCTCAGTCCCAAACAGTTTGGAACTCAAACAGTCCCAAGATGTTTGAAATACCACTGTAAATACAAAAAGAAAGTTACAGTTTGATATAAGATGTGACAAGTGTTATGAGTGAGTCTTCTTAAACTGACACAGTAACACCTGTCAATAAATTTGGAAGGAGTTATAAAAAAACACACAAGTCAACTTTTGGGTTTAGAACCCACTTCATATCTACCAGGTACATTAATTCATTTTAACTGGCTACAGCCATTTTCAAAGTGCATTCTAAGGCTCAGTTTCTTCAACTCTGAAAAGCATAGAAAAATGCCTATCTCACTCACTTTTCAGATCAATCAACATATAAGAACGCACTTTGTAAACTTTAAAATACTGTCAGATTAAATGGTTTGGGTTGTAATGTGTAAGAGTAAGTAACTGATTAGTGACAGAGCCAAGACAAAAGGTCTCCTGATACCCATCCTAGCCTAGTATGACAATGTGTGCGCTTACTTTTTATTTTTCATATTTTCCTGTATACACTTTACTTAGTTTCAAAAAGAATTAAGCCTGAATACCTTCTTTTCCTGTAGCAAACTAAGTCATGTGTATGGGTGTGTATAAAACATTATACTGTCTCCCTAATTCTGACACCCCAATATGGTGTTTAGAATGATTCAGTCAAGCTATGGACTACAATTTACTTTAGAAGAATTTACAAAGAATACAAAAGGGGTTGAACAACTTGCTTCCTTAAAATGACTAATAGAATTCTCAACTTTGCTTTGGTATTAAATTCACCTATGGAGTTCTTAAATTAAAATGAAACAAAACAGAAAAACAGTTTTGATGCTCGAGCTCCACCACAAGCCTCTTGAATCAGGATATCCTGTATTTCCCTTAATGATTGAACCCCAAGACATGAAATTAGCTAAATGGACAGTGGTGATCCTGGTACGTGCTTAAGTGGATAGTTGGCCCCCACAACCTCTGACATGTAAGTTCATAGAGCACAGTAGATCTGCAATGCACACAGATCCCCCTGCCTTGCCTCCCACCGCACAGCCATGCCTCCATGCACTGCTGGAAATGCACAGCATGCAGACCCATTTGGACTCACAATCACCACCCATGTTATATTGCACTATGCTAGATAAAAACATGAATGAACACAATTGCTGCTTACAAGGCATTCTAAAGGTATGCGTGGCAGGTAAAGAAGTAAACCTAATGTGAGTATAATATTTGCAGTTATATATATATGCCAAAGTCCATGTTAAAGGAGAGATTTTTTTTTTTCACTGGAAGGGAGCAGGAAAGAAAAGGCTTTACAGGTGAGGAAATTTCTGGGCAGAATTTAAAGAATGAGTGAGAATTGTCCAAGAGGAAGAAAGTGGGTCAAGCCAGTGGAAATGGAGAGCAGGTAGCTGTTGGGAGATGAAAGAAGGAAGGAAGATATTCTGGGAAGATGAGGGAGTGCGTACAAGGAGTCATGAAACAGCCTCGAACACATGGGACCTTCAGGCTGATGGGAGTAATGATGGGTCACACCTTTGAGGGTTGGGGGGGCCTCAGGGGATGTGGAGGGAGAGGTTAGTAGGGGTCAGTCCAAAGGGCCTTGAGTGCAATGCTATGGAGCTCCGCTGTGCTATTCCCAGTACACAGCATGTCTCTCCATTCTCGTTTTCCCAATGATTTTTCAAAAATACACATCTAATCTCAAGTAAAGAAATATTCTTAATAACATTTCTGAGCCAGAAGGGACCTTCTGACAAAAAGTGCCTCTATCACATTCTCTTCTGCCTTCCTTTTATAAGAAGAGTCATATATGATTTCTGGAGCATTCTTTTCCTGTCTTCCAAAGCAGAAAACTCTGTCCTTTCTTTGCTGTCTTCCAAAGAGGATAGCACTGAAAGCTGTCATCCTAAGGCCCTTTGGCCCTTCATCTCTCTCAGGCCAACAGACAGATCCTCTGGAGTCCTCACCTGGCTCTCATTTCTCGTGGGTGGCAGCATTATTGTTCTAAGACCTGTTAACATTGAAACAAGCTCAGAGTCAGTTATAGAACAGGGAATAACAATCCAGAGAGAGGGTTTGTAACAAACAGTCAGAGGATTCAGGGCTATTCAAACTACATAGCATTCAAGAATGAGCTCCAGTTTTGGAGATAACTAATAATCTTACTAGAGATATGAACATCATCAGTGCAAATCCCATGAACTTTGCACCTGCTGTAAGAGCTAGGGAGAAACATTACTTCTTTTTCCACATAGAATTGACCCTGAACCCTGACTAGAAGTGAGTAGATACCAGGTTTAGGACTGTGAAACTGAGTCTAGATCCCTGTCTCATCTGCCAACTGCTCTGGTCTGCCTTGGCTCATGGCCTGGGAAGCCGGATGCTTTAGACCGGGGTTCCCAACCCCTACGCTGTGGACTGGTACCAGTCTGGTCCATGGCCTATTAGGAAGCAGGCCCCAGAGCAGGAGATGAGCTGCAAGTGAGCGAGCATTACCGCCTGAGCTCTGCCTCTTGTCAAATCAGCGGCAGCACTGGAGTCTTGTAGGAGCACGAGACCTGTTGTGAATTGTGCATATGAAGGATCTAGGTTGAGCACTCCTTATGATAATCTAACTAATGCCTGATGATCTGAGGTGGAACAATTTCATCCCAAAGCCATTCCCTCCACTCTACCATCTGTGGAAACATCATCTTCCATGAAACCAGTCCCTGGTGCCAAAAAGGTTGGGGACTGCTCTTTAGATGGATGGGTAGGAATTCGGTGGCCAGGCAGAGACTGAACCTACATAGGATGGTCACAATGAACCTCGACTATTAATGTGTTACAGATTTACATAAAAGCTTGCCCACAGAAGCATCTAGGTCACAGAAACACATTCTCTGGATCTCAAAAGGGATAGTCTCCATATTCCATCAGGTAGAGAGGAGTGGAAGAGAATAAAGTGTTACTTAGAGTAAGAGTTGGGACTCTGAAGTCTGCATTATCTGGTTCAAATGATTCTATTATCATGGTTAATGCTCTGGAGCTGCCATATCAGGCCAACATCCAGGGAAAGGTCTAGGTTTATTTTAGTCCTCGAGGTAGCCCAACACTCACCAAAGAAAACAGTCAATTTTTGATTTCTTAAACAAGTTAATTCTTTGGGACTTTTATTGCCTTTGCCTCATTTTCCTCCTCTGTAAAGTAGAGGTTAAAAATACCTACTATGTTCTTGTGGAAATTGCCTGACGAAATGCATTAAAGTTTCTAACAGAGTTCCTGCCTTCTTAGTAGAAATGTACGAATAAATGTTGGTTTACTTCTCTCCTTTAGTTTCTTGTGTCCCTGTGTAATTTACATGGAGTAGTCAGATAACTGTTTTGTTTTTTTTTAATATGGCAGTTGACCACCAATGTAAATCTGAGGAAAGAATTATGGGAAAGCATAATATAATATTTTGTGTACCTGTAAATAAGTGACATTTATTTGTGAGGTAATTGACTGAGGAACTGGCTTATGCTTTAATCTCTCCACAGTAATGACTTAAGTACTTTGTGCTCAGCAGAGGTTCCAAAAATTTTTATGTATTAGATGATTTAGGAGATATTTTGAACTTTTACTCATTTAATTTTAAAATTGGGGGATATTTAATGTAAATAGGTTGCCAGAATTAGATGAGTTGGGTCACATCAGTGCACAGAAATTTATAGGGTCCACCACCAATTTCTAGTGTGGTGTTGGTGTTCTGCTCTGCAAAACATTCTAAGACATTCCCACTTACTGCAAGGAGTGGGGGTAAAAACGTGTGTAAGAGAGATTAAAGAGACCAATCATTTTTGGCAAAATGTTCATATTTAGAAAGTTATGAAAACTTAAGAAGTTGGTCAGGATCACCACATTGATGAAAACTGCACATTATCAGGAGTTATTGAAGTAGCACACTGCATTTTTAAGATTAATTGGAGCAAAGAGGAAAGACAAGCACCCAGGAGATAAGTAGTACGGTTCTGGGTTTGGTGGATTCAGTTTGTGGACTGGGAGGAGATGAGGGGTCTCCAATCTTTCTGATATATTTAGAGAGAAGCAAAATCCCAACCCCAGCTCTAAGTAACACTCTATCCCCGTCCTCTCCTCTTCTACCTCCCAGAATATGGAGACTATGAATCACCTTCAAAGTGTTTGAAGGTGATTCCAGAATTTTGAAACAAACAAACAAAATAAACAGAACATTTATAGCAAAGGAGATTTTCATAAAGGATGCTTTGGGGAAGGAAACGGTGGGGAAGCATAAAGTAAGTTCGTTGTTCATGCTTTAGACCTGTTGAGTCTGAGGTGGTAGTAAGTGTAACAAGCATATATTTCAAGTCCTGGTGAGTAATTTGTGTTTTCAGCCAGAAATATGGGATAAGGACACAGTAAGAAGATAAGGCAGGAAGATGGATAAGACGTGTCAGTTAAAACCGTAAAAAGAATGATGTCTTCCAGAGGAATTAAAGAGAGGACACATTATAAAAGCCTGAGAACTTGGGAACACCCACCTTTAGGACAGAGGACAAAATGTATAGTAGCAAATAGAATGGCGAGGTCTTATTCACAAAGGTAAAAGGACCAAGAGAGCCTTCTGTCATATCAGAGAAGTCAAGATAAAGAGAAAGTGAAGAAGGCAGGTGGCCAGCTGTGATACACCGCAGAATAGTGAGGAGGCCTGGAGGCCAAGAAAAGACACATTTGCACCCGGCTATTTCCTTTCAGTGCCAAGATTCTTTAATGCCATTGTGACTTTCAAAAAGGCAGTTCAGTTGACAGGTGACATCGACACCAAAGAAATATCAGGAGGATAGGTTAAAAGGAAATAGAAGCATAGTTGTAGAACATTCATCTGGAAGTTTCGCTGTTAAGAGAAGGTGACAGGTAAAAATAGTGAGTAGGGTCATTTAAAAATCATTTCAGGATGAGAAAAAATACCTTATTTGAAAGCAATTCAGTTGAGGGGAAAAATCTGGAGAGATTAAAATAGAAAGATGTAGTAAAAAAAACACAAAAACAAAAATCCCTCAGGAGGCAGAGAGAAGACTTGGCACAACTGGGAAACTGGCCCCCTCTCTGAGGTCAGTGACCAGAAGAGGTAAGTGGGTGTAAATGACAATCATGTCATCTTATCTTTGAAAATACTCCCTAGCTTACAAGACTATAAATGCAGTTTTTTATCTAAATATTTTTTTTCCTTAGGTCATTAAACCTTCACAGTCACTGTGTAAGAAAGGCATTATTACATTAATCTTACATTGTATAATTGAGGTCTCAGAGCAGGTTAGGAAATAATTCAAGATTCCATAAACAGGGAGTAGCTGAGTTAGGACAAGATCCCAGACCTCTTAAGCCTAAAACAAGGCATGGCGCTTTGGGAAGCTGAGGTGGGTAGATCACCTGAGGTCAGGAGTTCGAGACCAGCATGACCAACATGATGAAACTCCATCTCTACTATAAAATACAAAAAAAATTAGCCAGGCGTGGTGGTCAGGTGGCTGTAATCCCAGCTACTCAGGAGGCTGAGGCAGCAGAATTGCTTGATCTCAGAAGGCGGAGGTTGCAGTGACCCAAGATAGTGCGATTGTACTCTAGCCTGGGATACAAGAACAAAACTCCATCTGGAAAAAAAAAAAAAAAAACCACCAAACTTAAGGCATGGGCCAAGCCTTCTAAATGCTCATCACATTTGTCTACACCAATGTTAGAATATGACCAAAGAAGATGACAGCGATGTTGTGGGTTGTGGCCTCAAGCTATTAAATAAGGCAAGTGTGTGTGTGTCTCTGAGAGATACACACACACACACACACACACACACACAGAGGAGAGAGAGAGAGAAAGAGACAGGCATACACACACACACACACACACACAGACACACAGAGGAGAGAGAGAAAGAGACAGACACACACACACACACACAGAGGAGAGAGAGAGAGAAAAAGAGACAGGCATACACACACACACACACACACAGACACACACACACACACACAGAAAGAGACAGGAGAGAGAGTGCTGGGAGAGGGTATGGGTTGAATTGTGGTCCTCCAAAAGATACATTGAAGCCCTGATTCCCACTCTCAATGAATGTGTGTTTATTTGCAAACAGGGTCTTTGCAGACGTAATTAAGATGTTACTCAAGATCTTAGTTAAGATGAGGTCATACTGGAATAAAAGTAGGCCCTTGATCTAATATAACTGACATCCTTAGAAGAGAAGAGACAGAGACAAACACATAGAAAGAAGACAGTCATGTGACGATGGAGGCAGAGATTAGAGTGATGGATCTGTAAGCAAAGCAATGCTAAGGATTGCCAGTAAACATCAAAGAGGCAAGGAAGGATTCTATCCTACAGTTTCTAGAAGGAGCATGGCCCTGCTACCACCTCAAGCTATTAAATAAGGCAAGTTTGTGTGTGCGTGTGCGTGTATGTGACACACACACACACACATGCGCGTGAGAGAGAGTGTTGGGAGATGGTATGGGTTGCCTTCTGGCCTCCAGAGCTATAAGATAACACATTTAACACATTTCTGTTGTTTTAAGCCACCTAATTTGTGATATTTGTTACGGCAGCTCTAGAGCAGAACTGTTCTGTGGCCTGTTAGGAACCAGGCCACACAACAGGAGGTGAGCAGTGGGCCAGTGAGCATGACCAGCTGAACTCCACCTCCTGTCAGATAAGCGGCAGCATTAGATTCTCATAGGAGTGCAAACCCTATTGTGAACTGCACATGCAAGGAATCCAGGTTGCATGCTCCTGAGGAGAATCTAATGCCTAATGCCTAATGATCTGAGGTGGAACAGTTTCATTCAGAAACCACTCCCCCAAACCCCAACTGTGGTCCCTGGAAAATTGTCAAATTGTTTTCCACAAAGCAGGTCCTGATGCCAAAAGGTTGGGGACTGCTGCTCTAGAGAACTAATATGGGAGCATATCACCTAGATGGATTTGGTGAAAACTTGTCCAGGAAAGAGAAGGTGTGAATGACCAAAGTGGATGGTGATAGTGGGAGTTGACAAAGGGGAAAATGCATTTCTGGAATAAATACTTGCAGGCCAGTAGTACAACATCGTGGCTCAGCATAGTAATTTTGGAACCAGACACCAATGGGTTCAAATTGTTATTCTGCCTCTTTTAGGCTGGGAGACACTGATAATGTTATTTAACATTTCTAAGGCTTTGTTTACTTATTTGCAAAATGGATATAATAATTCCTACTCCATGGTATTATGATGAGGATTAAATGGCATGAAACATGTAAAGTGCTTGCCACAGTGCCTTTTAGTGCTCAATAAAGTGAGGTGAGTTCCTAGTAGTTATAATAGTTACAGTTGTTGTTTATGCCTTTACCATTATATGCCTTTTTCTAACAGCATTTTTGTCTGGAAGTCTTTCCAGACAAAATATTTCCAAAGTATAGCCAGCATTTTTGTCCACAGGGAGCAGAAAAAGAAAGTGATGGGGGCAAAAATCTAACACTGAAGGGTATTTGTTTGTATGAAAAGGGCACCATGATGCTGAGGTCGGTAGTGATACTAATAGTAGTGGCAGTAGTACTAGTAGTAGGTTGGTAGTAGTACTAATAGTAGGAGCAGTAATAGAAGGAGGTACACAAAGATAAGGAGAAAAAGGGACAGTGGTTCTATTAAGTGATTACTATGTTCCAGATACTTCTCACATGCTTTGCATATATTAATAAGAAAACCCCATTGTCTCAGCCCAAAACCTCCTTAAGCTAATGAGCAACTTCAGCAAAGTCTCAGGATACAAAATTAATGTGCAAAAATCACAAGCATTCCTATATACCAATAATAGAAAAATGGAGAGTGAGTTCACTCAAATGAGTGAACTCCCATTCACAGTTGCTACAAAGAGAATAAAATACCTAGGAATACAACTTACAAGGGATGTGAAGGACCTCTTCAAGGAGAACTACAAACCACTGCTCAAGGAAATAAGAGAGGACACAAACACATGGAAAAACATTCCATGCTCATGGAGAGGCAGAATCTACATTATGAAAATGGCTATACTGCCCAAAGTAATTTATAGATTCAATGCTATCCCCATCAACTACCATTAACTTTCTTCACAGAATTAGAAACAACTACTTTAAATTTCATATGGAATCAAAAAAGAGCCCATATAGCCAAGACAATCCTAAGCAAAAAGAACAAAGCTAGAGGCATCACGCTACCTGACTTCAAACTATACTACAAGGCTACGGTAACCAAAACAGCATGGTACTGGTACCAAAACAGATATATAGACCAATGGAACAGAACAGAGGCCTCAGAAATAATGTCACGTATCTACAACCATCTGATCTTTGACAAACCTGACAAAAACAAGCAATGGGGAAAGGATTCCTTATTTAATAAATGGTGTTGGGAAAACTGGCTAGCCATATGCAGAAAACTGAAACTGAACCCCTTCCTTACACCTTATACAAAAATTAACTCAAGATGGATATAAGACTTAAACATAAGACTTAAAACTATAAAGCTTCTGGAAGAAAACCTAGGTAATACCATTCAGGACATAGGCATGGGCAAAGACTTCATGACTAAAACACCAAAAGCAATGGCAACAAAAGCCAAAATTGACAAATGGGAACCAATTAAACTAAAGAGCTTCTGCACAGCAAAAGAAACTATCACCAGAGTGAACAGGCAACCTACAGAATGGGAGAAAATTTTTTCAATCTGTCCATCTGACAAAGGGCTAATACCCAGAATATACAAGGAACTTAAACAAATTTACATGAGAAACAATCCCATCAAAAAGGAACTTAAACAAATTTACATGAAAAAACAACCCCATCCAAAAGTGGGAGAAGGATATGAACAAACACTTCTCAAAGGAAGACATTTTTGCGGCCAAGAAACATATGAAAAAAAGCTCATCACCATGTGGACATTAGAGAAATGTAAATCAAAACCACAGTGAAATACCATCTCATGCCAGTTAGAATGGCGATCATTAAAAAGTCAGGAAACAACAGAAACTGGAGAGGATGTGGAGAAATAGGAACACTTTTACACTGTGGTGGGAGTGTAAATTCGTTCAACCATTGTGGAAGACAGTGTGACAATTCCTCAAGGATCTAGAATCAGAAATACCATTTGACCCAGCAATCCTATTACTGGGTAGATACCCAAAGGATTATAAATCATTCTACTTTAAAGACACATGCACACGTATATTTATTGCAGCACTATTCACAATAGCAAGGACTTGGAACCAACCAAAATGCCCATTAATGATAGACTGGATAAAGAAAATGTGGCACATGTACACCGTGGAATACTACGGAGCCAAAAAAAGAATGAGTTCATGTCCTTTGCAGGGACATGGATGAAGCTTGAAATCTTCGTTCTCAGCAAACTAATGGGAACAGAAAACTAAACACCACGTTTTCTCACTCATAAGGGAGTTGAACAAAGAGAACACATGGACACAGGGAGGGGAACATCACACACTGAGGCCTGTCAGGAGATTGGGGGGTTGGGGGAGGGGATAGCATTAGGAGAAATACCTAATATAGATGACGGGTTGATGAGTGCAGCAAACCACCATGGCACGTGTATACCTATGTAACAAACATGCATGTTCTGCACATGTATTCCAGAACTTAAAGTATAATAATAAATAAAATAAACATAACAACAAAAAAGCATGTTAAATATCTTAGGGAGAATAACATTGAATTTGAAATCTAAGGCTAAGAATACATTTATTCGATATGAAGAACAACATTTTGGTCTTCGTGAAAAAACTGAAAGTAATTCCAGATAACAGAGAGGGAATGGAATACAAGACCAAGTTTTAAAAAAGATAATAGATAAAAAATATAATTGTTGAAAATAAAGCATTCATGATGACTCATTTGTGTAACAGAACGGTATATTATGCTGATGAATTTTTGCCTTTTTATGTAATGGCCATAGATGTCAATGGATAGTGTAAACATGCCAATAATGTCATCAGCATAAATGATAATAGTAATAGTTGTCATTTATTGAGCATTTACTGTTTTCCTGTGGTAGTACTGATGGTATTATGAGTCTTATTTTGTATAATTCTTAAATCAATCCTCTGAGGTAGTGTTTCACACACCTTTAAGGTGCTGCTTCAGATTTGCTCAGCTTCACTTATCTCTGGAACCCCTGGCTACTTGTTCCATCCCAGTTGCCTCTGCAGTAACTAACTAGGCATGGGATTTAACCAATATCGCATGGGCACAACCCAACCCACCTTACCTCATACCTGTGCTGGTCACCTTTCGGCTCCTGTCTCAGAGTTTTCTGACACTTCCTGAGAGATACAGTGCCACAGTACCTGTTCAGTGTCCATGTGTGCACAGTACCTGTTCAGTGTCCATGTGTGCACAGCCCTGAAGTACAGGGATTTATTGCCATTTGGGATGAACTTGTGACCAATAAAAAATGGAAGTTCGTGAGTATATTTGCCTCCTTTTTTGCCCCTGGACTAATTTTCCTGTGATGCAATAGCTTCATGAGACTTCTCAGTGGAGAATCTCCTAAGTTAGAGCAATGGGTTGTTCTTGATCACACATGATAGCCACCACAATGACATACCTCTATTATCCCCTGTTCTTCTCAGTTTCATTAACCCCTTCTCAAATTCCTGCTTCTCTGATATTTCTCTTCCAAATAAATTAGTATAGCACCAGCATTTGCCTTTTTTAAGAACCCAGGCTAAGACAATGGCACCAGAACTAGGCTGTTTTATAATGTCTGTTCTGCAGTGGCATCACCATCTCTGTGACCTTCACCTGTGCATAATTGGGATGAGGTGAAGGTGGAACGCAGAGCATGGGATATGCAGTGGTTGTGGTGATGAAAGAAAATGGGCACAATGACAAGTATAGGAATTGTGGAGTTGGGTGGTGTTCTGTGGTTAGCAGGTCTATGCGAACCTACCCCTAAAAGTCCAAGGAAGCTGAGAAGCCAAAGAAAGAGGCTGACATATGCAGTTTTTCAGGAAAGAAGGAGGTAAACATCTAACAGGGACTTACAACAGAAGCCATGTCTGTGTCTTGGGTGGTGGCAAGACAAGATAGTGGATTCCCACACCATTACCCCTCAGACCTAGCTAAACTGTAGGGAAAGAGATGTGGAGGATAAATACTGAAGAGCAGGATTTACAGTAAGTATAATAACATCAGAGTTGTTTTGACCTAAGGGCAGGATTTATGGTAAGTACATGCTCTTACACAAGGAAGAGTAGATGATATAGAAATCTTAGAGGCGTTCCTAATATTGGGGTTAAACAGAAGTCAACATGGCACATGAGCAGCCAAGATGGAGTTGCTTTAGTCTCAATAGATGGCTTTTGTTAACAATGCTAGTAGCCTTGACAATAGAAAATGATAGGCTCAGGTCAACTGCTAGCTTAAGTCATGTAATGAAACCTGGAGTCACCTTATAAAAGCTTTTAGTAATACCCTTATCTTCTGTAACTATAAGGCATACAGTACTGAAAATCAGGCACAGACTCTATTGTAATGGAGCTGCTAATGGAACCTAAATACTCACCTTTAAAAATTAAGGCCTTGAGAGAAAGGGTGGGACATACGACCTGAGATATGGACATTGGACGAATATGTCTGAGAATCTTTAATCCCCAAATTCTCTTGAGTTCCTCAGGCCAGTAGAAGTAACCCCCTCTCAATTTCTGCAGGACAACAGTCTGTCAGTGCCTTGAAATTTGCAATATCTCACCTGAAGAAGGAGCCTTGCAAAATAATGCTTATACACTTCAAGAGTCTTTCTCGTATCCTTCATTGCCTCCAGGCCAATAATCAGGGTTAGGTCTTAGCACAGACCAATCAGGAAAATACAGCCTTGCTCTAGGAAATATAGACTACATGCAATAATAAACTAAAATAAATTGCAAGATCTTGCTAATGTGTTTGAGTGAGAAACAGGAGAAATCTATATGAGAATGTATCCTAAGTAGGTAAGATTGGGATAGCGAGAAGCAAATATAAGACTGGACAGGGTAGAATTTATTAACATAGGAGAAATCACCTGAGAATCTGGGTTTAATGTTTTATCAAAGACCCTAAAGCAAATTTGGAAAGTCTGCTGGATCCACCATAACAACAGGCTAAAGGAGAAAAATCATACTCATAGAATTATTGTGGAAAAATTAACAAAATTCAGTACCCTTTCATTAAAACCTTTCATCTCAGAAAATTAGAAATGGAGGAGAATTACCTCAACAATAAAAGGCATCTACAAAAAAAGCATATGAATAATATTGTATTTAGTTATCAAAGGCTAAATGTTTTCCCCTGATGATTGGGAACAAGGCAAGGATGTCCACTCTCACCATTACTATTCAACACAAGCCTGGAAGCTCTAGCAAGAACAAGAAAAAAACAAATAAAAGAAATAAAAGGCACATATTAGAAAGGAAGAAATCAAATCCTCCCTATTTGCACATAAGATTGTCTATGTAAAACATTCCATGGAATCTATCCTACCCAATACCCCCCAAAAACTTGAGAACTAAGAAATGAGGTTATTAAGATTGTAGAATCTAAGATCAATACACAAAAACCAATCATTTTTCTATACTAAAAATGAACATACTGAAACTAAAATTTAAAATATAATACCATTTATAATTGCTTCAAAGAAAATACAGCACCCACATATACCCTTAACAAAACATGTACAAGAATGGTATGATTACAATTATAAAATGCTGAAGACAGAAATTGAAAATCTAAGTAAGCAGAGAGACATACTATGTTCATGGATTGGAAAACTCTATATAGTAAAGATGATATTTATCTCCAAATTGATCTATAGGCTTAATAAAATTCCTATCAAAATCCCAGGAAGTTTTTTTTTTTCATGAACACAGCTTATTCTAAAATTTATATGAAAAGATACATATCCTAGAGTAGCTAAAACAATTTTGACCAAAAAATATAGTGAGATGAATCACTCTACCTGACACTTGAGCTTAATTTATAGCTATAGTAATCAAGGCAGCATGATATTGGCAGGGGAATAGACACATATAGATCAATAGAACAGAAAAGAGAATTCAGAACTAGGTCTGGTATGGTGCCTTACACCTAAAATCCCAGCACTTTGGGAGGCCGAGGCAGGTGGATCACTTGAGGTCAGGAGTTCAAGAGCAGCCTGGCCAACATGGAAAAACACGATCTCTACTCAAAATACAAAAATAGCTGGGCGTGGTGGTGCACACCTGTAATCCCAGCTACTTGGGAGGCTGAGGAAGGGGAATCACATGAAGCCAGGAGGTGGATGTTGCAATGAGCTGAGATTGTGCCACTGCACTCCAGCCTAGGTGACAGAGTGAGACTCTGTCTCAAAACAAAAACAAACAAACAAAACAAAAAACAAACAGAAAAACAGAATTCAGAACTCAACCTACGCAAATATATTCAAAAGTTGCAAAAGCAGTTGAAGGGAGGAAATCATTTTAACAAATGGTGTAGAAGCAATTGGACATCCATAGGAAAGAAAATGCACCTTGACCTACAACTCACACCTTATTCAATAATTGGCTGAGTCTTTAGTCTTGATACCAAAAGCATGATCCATAAAAGGAGAAATTGATAAACTGGGTTTCATCAATATTAAACACTTTCTTTTTTGTAAAAGACTCAAAAAGGAGTTGAAAAGACAAGGTAGAAACTGTAAAAAAAAAAAAAAAAAAAAAAAAAAAAAAAAAAAAGGTTGCAAGCCAGATATCTGGGAAAGAACTTTTATCAATAATATACTAAATAAAAACTCTTACAACTCAACAGTAAAAGTTCAAACTGTCCACTTAGAAAATGGACAAAATACCCAAAAAAGAGACATTTTAGCAAAGGAAGTATACAGATGGCAAAGAGCACATGAAAAATATGTTCAGCATTATTAACCATCAGGAAAATAAAAAAAGGAAGGAAGGAAAGAAAGGAAGGGAAGGGAAAGAGGGAGGGAGGAAGGAAGGGAGAGAGGGAGGGAGGGAGGGAGAAAGCGAGAGAGGGAGGGAGGGAGGTAGGGAAAGAAAGAAAGAAAAACAAACCAATAATGGGATACCTATCAGAATGGCTACTTTTTTTTTAAGTGATAGCACTAAATATTGATGAGAATGTAGAGAACCTGGATCACTCATTCATTCCTGGTAGAAATGTGACAGATGATAGATGGATGGATAGATAGATAGATAGATAGATAGATAGATAGATAGATAGATAGATAGACAGATGAGATAAATTATAGATACACATGCAGTTGTAAGAAATAATACAGAGAGATTCCAGGTACCTTTCATTGAGTTCCCTTCAGCAGTAACTTCTTGCAAAAAAAAAATATTACAATCAGAATATTTCACACTGATGTAATCCACTGATTTTATCATATTTCTCCAGTTTTGCTTGTACTTATTTGTGTGTGTATGTACGTATAGAAGAAAAGTTAAAATCTTCAGAGTAGTTCCTTAAAGCTTCTACACATCAAATCCCTATATTAAGGAGATAGAGATCCCTTTGCCTATGTAGGAAATGGCAAATATCATTGATGTTCTGGAGAACTAACTGTTGCCAGAGAGTAGAAGATAATCTCAATAGAGATTTGAGGATGATGCTTGGTAAAGTCCGAGGGATGCAGTGTCTGCCACCTGAAGAATATTGAGAATGAAGTCAGAAGAGTCGGGGCAATGGAAATATTAGAATTGATTTATTACACGACATCTAAAATTTACCATCTGATAATATTTTCTTAGAATTTCCAGAAAACACTCCTTTCACTAAGTCAGTGGTCCTTACACTTGAACTTTAGAGTTCCCAGGAGGAGATCAAAATTTCCAGAAGGGCTTGTTAGATATAGATTTCTGGGTCCCATTCCCAAAGTCTCATTTAGTAGACCCTAAAATTTCAGGTTTTAAAATTTGCATTTCTAAAACGCTCCTAGGTGCTGTTAATGTTACTGTTCTGGGGTCTACACTGAGAGAGAACTCTGCACTAACACAGTAAGAAATGCACTGGGGATAAGGGAGCATCAGCATTGTTGAGAAGTTCAGTGGTGGGTGTCCTCTGTAGGCTAGATATGACCATTGGAATTCTTAACATGGAAATAATCTCCCTAAGACAAATGGTGATGATGAGATTCCAGAGTGGTTGAGACTGGGTGGCAGCACTTAACTATCAGACAAGGAGAATATGCCTGACATAATTATTATAATGGGTAAGAACACTGTCATAGTAATCTGGATGTCTCAACCTGTAGAAGTTTGTAGCAATGTCTGAGATCAAGGTGACTTTTGATTAAAGGCAAAGGTCTACCCCATAAGGAAGAGCCCTACAATGTCATTGCAAGTACATGTGGTAAAGATCCCTCTGATTTCCCCCAAAGGGCCCTGTGCTAGGATTACTATGTATGAGGAGCAGGAAATAACTAGACTATTTGAGGGCTGTTAGATAGATGTTCTAAGCTGACACCAATACCAGGGGACCTAAAATGCCTTCACATTTCTCTAGAGTTGGGGTATAAGAAAGCCAGCTATTAAATAGGATTTGGCTCAAGCATATCTCATAGTGGGCCCAATGGGTGTGTATGTATATATATATGTATATATATATATACACACACATATATATATATATGTGTATATATATATATATATATATGTGTGTGTATATATATATATACACATATATATATACATATATATATGTGTATATATATATATATATACACATATATATATGTGTGTGTATATATATATATATATATACATATATATATATATGTGTGTATATATATATATATATATATATATATATATAGCCTGTGGTTATTTGGTTATTTTCCTGGGTTCTGAATGTATGATGGACATAGATTTACTTAATAGCCAGCCATGTTGATTATCTGATGTGTAGAGCAATGGCTGTTACAGTGAGAATGGCTAAGTTGAAGCCCCCATGTCCTCTCCCTTTCAGCTAAGATACACATCAGAGGCAATATTTGTCTTCTTTGAGGAAACTCTGAGACCACTACCACCACCAAAGATGTGCAATTATGTAGGAGTAGTGGTCCTCTTCCTTTCTCCCATCAATATGTCTAGATCCTGCAAAAGCCAGGTGGATTGTGGTGGATTATGGTGGCTACCATAAGATAAAAGATGGTAGCCCTATCTGTGCCTTCCTGCTGGGTGTGTTATTTTTACATACAATTAACATAGTCTCTGGCACTTGATGTAGGGCTTTTTTTTTTTTTTTTTTTTGAGACAGTATCTTGTTTTGTCACCCGGGCTGGAGTGCAGTTGTGTGATCATAGTCACTGCAACCTTAAACTCCTAGGCACAAGAATTCCTCCTGCTTCAGCCTCCTGAATAAGCATGACTACAAATACATGCCACCTTGCCCAACTAATTCTAAAAAATTGTTTGTAGAGACGGGGGTCTCACTTTGTTGCCTAGGCTGGTCTCAAAATCCTGGGCTCAAGAGATCCTCCTGCCTCGGCTTCCCAAAGTTCTGAGATTACAGCCATGAGCCACTGTGCTCAGCCTGTCGTACGACTTTTTTATGGCAAATGATTTCTTGATCATTCTGGCAGGCTGAATAATAACCCCCAAATATGTCCATGTCACAATCTCAGAAATCTATAAATTTTAATGTACATGGAAAAAAGGGACTTTGCAAATGTGATTAAGTGTAGAATCTCGAGATGGGAAGATTATCCTGAATTATCCCAGTGGGCTGGATGTAATCATACATGTCCTTATAAATAGGATTAGAAGGGCCAGAGTCAGAAGAAAGCACTGTGGTGACAGGAGGAGAGACTGTAGAGATGCACTTTGAAGATAGAGGAAGGGGCTACAAGCTGAATAACACCAGGGGTCTCTAGAAGTAGAAAGTAGAAGATCTAGAAAAGGCAAAGAAACGAGTTTTCCTCTAAAACCCCAGAAGGGACCAGCGCTTCTGACACCTTGCCTTTAGCCCAGTGAAATTAGTTACAGACATCTTGTCTTCAGAAATATAACAGAATACATTTGTATTGTTTTAAGAAACCAAATTTGTGGTAATTTGTTGCAATAGCCATAAGAAAGGAATATGCCATTAGTATCAGCAAAAAGGATTAACACAGTGCAAATTACTCACTGCCTGCACCAAGGCTGTGATAAAGTTTAAAATTACATATACAGTCATATATAATTCATATGGTCATAAAGTTCAAAAGTATATATATATATATATATATATATATACTGTGTATTTATATGGTATAATAAATATTATATATATAGTATGTATATAATTGAATATATTATTGTCCTTAAATTGATGACATGATGTTGACTGGACCTAGTGAGTAGGAAATGGCAAATATTATTGATGTCCTGGTTATTACATGTTGCCAGAGAGTAGAAGATAATCTCAACAGAGCCTCGTGGGGTGATGCATTGGTGAAGTTCAGAGGGATGCAGTCTCTACCATGTGCTGGGACTGTCTAAAGTTAAGGATAAGTTGTTAGAATTTGCACTTTCTACCACTAGGTAAGAGGCACAACTCTTAGTGGGCTTCTTAGAATTTTAGAAGAAACATATGCCACATATGAGAATACTGCTCCAACTTGGAAAACCGCAAGGGTCAAGTGGGCTCTGATAAAGAGAAGCCTCTGCAACAGGCTCAGAATGCAATGCAGGCTGCCCTTCCACTCATGCCATATGACCCTGTAAATCTGATGGTGTCAGATGTTGCTGTGGTAAAGAATGATGATGTGTTGTTTCTCTGACAAGCCCTAATTAGAGAGTCACAGTTCACATGCCAGATTTCTGAAGCAATATCAGGCCTTCTATGGAAGAGAACCACTTGCCATTTGAAAAAAAACATCAGTAGAACTATTTGGTCATTTCAAATGGAAAGAAAAGTAATCTGAGATAAGGACACACAGGCTTCTGGGCTTTGAGGAATGGCTGAGCTTGTTGCATAGGATTCTGGAAGAAATTAAACCTGAAGATCAGAGACCAGCAGATTTGAGGGAGAGATATAGTCACAGACCTGTAGGAATGGTCCCAAAGCATACAGTTATTTTATTTTTTAAAAATTATAATATTTATTAAATTTTGTTACTATTTATAACATAGATTTATTGACTTTTGGTTGGGAAAACTAGTTGCGTGCATTTGTTCAGTTCATTGCAGAATCTTTAGCACCCTGGCCTAAGGATTAAACGCCCATAGTATACCACTTTTATTGCAATAGCCAAGAATGCTGCTACACATTTTCACACACCCCCAGGAGGGTATTTAGTTCTCATTCTACTTGAGAATGATTTAATACCGTAAAACTTACCACCAGGTATGATTCTTAGAATAATTTTATATGTTTCCAATTTTTAGAGTTAGATGTATTTAGATTATCTCAAATATATTATTAATGTATTTTTAAATCTTTTTTTGAGGTATAACGCATATACTCTACTCTCAGAATTAAGTTTTAAAGAATACAATTTGATGAATTTTTTTTACCTACACATTATACCCATGCAATCACCATCCAGGTTAAGATGCTGAATATTTTTAGGACTTCAGAAATCTTTATGACCCTTTTCAATCAACCTCTGAGAGGTTAACTTCTAATCTAACTTCTATCACCATGTATTAGTTTTGCCTGTTTTTGAACCTTATTTTTTTTAAAAAAAACAATCATAGTAAAGCATTCAGATCTCTGTCTTTAATCCTTCCAGAAAGCATCTACCACCAAGGAGGCTTCAGTCACCAGGTGGACAGAATGACTCATCCAGGCATGTGAACTAGTCTCTGACTAGTTTATCCCTGTGTTGGTGCAATCAGTCCATGACCATGTGGTCATGGTGGTAAAGATGAAGGCTACACAAAAACTCAACAGCATAAGTTCTCCCTGATCTAGCTACTGTCAGGGCCTAGTGTCTATCCTGTCAGCAACATACACTGGGCCCTCCACGTAGCTCCATTTATTTAAAAGGCCAGCCATTAATAGCAGACAGGCCAATTATTCTGAACGTCTTTTATCCTGGAAGGGTATTAATTTGTCCTTACTGGACTTAATAGGTACTCCAGGCTATGATTTCCTCTTTTTTGTCAGCAAGGACTCCACCCATACCACTAAGAGTACTTATAAAATGCTTGCATGGCATCTCATATAACAATGCTTCAGATTAAGACACACATTGTATTAGTCTTTTCTCATGCTGCTGATAAAGACATACCCAAGACTGGGTAATATATAAAGGAAAGAGGTTTAATGGACTCACAGTTCCACATGGCTGGGGAGGCCCCACAATTATGGCAGAAGGCAAAGGAAGAGCAAAGTCATGTCTTAGGTGGCTACAGGCAAGAGAGAGCATGTGCAGGAGACCTCTTCTATGTAACACCATCAGATCTCCTGAGACTTATTCACTACCATGAGAACAGCATGGGAAAAACCTGCCCGCATGATTCAATTACCTCCCCCTGGGTTCCTCCCATGACACATGAGGATTATGGGAGCTAAAATTCAAGATAAGATTTGGGTGCAGACAGAGCCAAACCATATCATTAAACCCCTGTACCCTCCCAAATCTCATATCCTCACATTTCAAAACCAATGATGCCTTCTCAACAGTTCCTCAAAGTCTTAACTTATTTTAGCATTAACTCAAAAGTCCATAGTCCAAAGTCTCATCTGAGACAAGACAAGTCCCTTCTGCCTATGAACCTGTAAAATCAAAAGCAAGTTAGTTACTTCCTAGATACAATGTGTGTACAGGTATTGGGTAAATACACCCAAATGGGAGAAATTGGCTAAAACAAAGGGGCTACATGCAATTCTGAAATCCGGAAGGCCAGTCAAATTTTAAAGCTCCAGAATGTTCTCCTTTGACCCCATGTCTCACATCCAGGTCATGCTGATGCAAGAGGTGGGTTCCCATGGTCTTGGGCAGCTCTGCCCCTGTGGCTTTGCAGAATATAGCCTCCCTCCTGGCTGCTTTCATGGACTGGCATTGAGTGACTGCAGATTTTCCAGGCACATGGTACAAGCTGTCAATGGATCTACCTTTCTGGGGTCTGGAGGGTGGTGGCCTGCTTCTCATACCTCCACTAGGCAGTGCCCCAGTGGGGAAATCTGTGTGGGGGCTTGCACCCCACATCTCCCTTTTGCACTACCCTAGCAGAGGTTCTCCATGAGGATTCCACCCCTGTAGCACCCCTCTGCCTGGATATCCAGGTGTTTCCATACGTCTTCTGAAATCTAGGCAAATGTTGTCAAACCTCAATTCTTGACTTCTGTGTCCCTGCAGGCCCAACACCACATGTAAGCTGCCAAGGCTTGGGGCTTGCACCCTCTGAAGCAACGGCCTGAGCTCTATGTCGGCCCCTTTTAACCATGGCTGGGATGCAGAGCACTAAGTCCGAGACTGCACAAAGCAGCAGGGCACTGGGCCAGGCCCATGAAACCATATTTTCCTCCTAGGCCCCCAGGTCTGTGATGGAAAGGGCTGCTGTAAAGACCTCTCAGATGCCCTGGAGACATTTTTCCATTGTTTTGGTGATTAACATTTGGCTCTTCGTTACTTATGCAAATTTCTGCAGCCGGCTTGAATTTCTTCTCAGAAAATGGGTTTTTCTTTTCTACTCCATCATCAGGCTGCAAATTTTCTGAACTTTTATATTTTTTGCTTCCCTTTTAACATAAGTTCCAATTCCAACCATCATAGCTTTGTGAATACATAAAACTGAATACTATTAACAGTACCCTAGTCACCTCTTGAATGCTTTGCTGCTTAGAAATTTCTTCCACCAGATGCCCTAAATCATCTCTCTCAAGTTCAAAGTTTGACAGATTTCTAGGACAGGGGCAAAATGTCACCAGTCTCTTTGCCAAAACATAGAAAGAGTCACACTTTTGCTTCAGTTTCCAAAAAGTTCCTCATCTCCATCTGAGACCACCTCAGCCTGGACTTTGTTGCCCATATCACTGTCAGCATTTTGGTCAAAGCCATTCAACAAAGGTCTAGGAAGTTTCAAACTTTCCCACATCTTCCTGCCTTCTTCTGAGTCCTTCAGACTGTTCCAACCTCTGCCTGTTACCCAGTTCCAAAGTCACTTCCACATTTTTAGGTATCTTTATAGCAGCACCTCACTCTACTGGTACCAATTTACTGTATTAGTCTGTTCTCATGCTGCTAATAAAGACATACCATAGACTGGGTAATTTATAAAGGAAAGAGGTTTAATGGACTCACATTTCCACATGGTTGGGGAGTCCTTACAATCATCATGGAAGGCAAACGAGGAACAAAGTCATGTCTTACAAGGCAGCAGGCAAGGGAGAGCATTTGCAGGGGAACTCCCCTTTATAAAACCATCACATCTCGTGAGACTTAATCACAGCATGGAAAAGACCCGCCCCCATGATTCAATTGCTTCGCATTGGGTTCCTCTCATGACTCATGGGCATTATGGGAGCTACAATTCAAGATGAGATTTGGGTGGGACCCAGCCAAACCATATCACCCATTTAATGGCAAAAAGAGTATGTCCTTGGGCACATGCCCATGAGATTCACAAATCATGTAATGTACTTAATATGGTTTGGCTGTGTCCCCACCCAAATCTCAACTTGAATTGTACCTCCCAGAATTCCCACGTGTTGTGGGAGGGACCTAGCGGGAGGTAATTGAATCATGGGGGCTGGTTTTTCCCATGCTATTCTCCTGATGGTGAGTAAGTCTCAGAAGATCTGACGGGTTTATCAGGGGTTTCTGCTTTTGCTTCTTCCTCACTCTTCTCTTGTTGCTGCCATGCAAAACTTGCCTTTTGCCTCCAGTCATGATTCTGAGGCCTTCCCAGCCATATGGAACTGTAGGTCCAATTAAACTTCCTTTTCTTCCCAGTTTCAGGTATGTCTTTATCAGCAACATGAAAACGAACTAATACAGTACTCCATCACCACATTTCAGACCAAAAGAATGCTGGAATAGCCTGCTAAAGCTCAAATAGAGCAGCATCTCAGAACAACATCACGAACAGCTGGGACACTATTTTCTTTGATTGAGAACATGCCCAGAATCAACAAGAGTACATAGTGCTATGTCCCCAGTACTTAAGATACATGGGTCCAGAAATCAGTGTGCAAAAATAGAATTTACACATCTCAGCCTCACTCCTGTCAACTCAATTTCTATTTTGTTTTTCACCCTTGAAAACTCAGCCTCTTCCTAATTAAAGACCCTCAGTTTCCCAAAAAAGAAGTCTGGTGCCAGGGGACACATTTAGTTTCCTGCAGAACTGAAAGCTACAACTCTCATAAGCCCATATTAGGCTTATGAGCCAGCAAACAAGAAAAGAGCTACTCTGCTGGAGGTGGGTGCTTGACTTTGATCACTATGAGGCATTATAGTTTCTCCTACACAATGGAGACAAGGAAGCCCTATGTCGGGATACCAGAGGATTCAATGGGGCATCTGTTTGTGCTTCTGTACCCCAAAACAAAGGTAAAAACAAGTGTTTGCAGCAACCACGGTATCCCAATAATAGATGCAAGGTAACTAAGAGTTCAGTCCCTATAGGGATAAAGTTCTGAGTCACTCCATCAGGCAAGCAACCCAGACCAGCTCAGTGTGCAAGAAATCAAAAAAGGGAAGTAGAGAAGGGAGATCATGAATGTCATGGTCTCAGAATCAGCTCTATGGCACCAGGGAATTTAACCTGTTTCATAAACACTCTTGCCTTAATCCTTCTCAGAAATCATAGCTGCCACCAGCTAAAGAGAGCTCCATGAATAATTTACAGGCCCTCTTAGGGATAAATTAGGATCTGCTCATAAAAATAGAAGTACCTCTGTATTGTGAGAGGCTGGAATAGTAAGAGGGCATGTGTGGATCTGAGTGCTGCTAGGGGAACACTGTATCAGGCACCTCCTTATGTACCCTCTCTGATCCTTTTGACCTTATGTGTCTCTAGGCTGCGTGTTTTGCCCAGTTACCACTAGGGAGCCAACTCGGCATGGACTTTGACCCACTTCACATGGATACAACCCAATAGAACTTGTCCATGCCAGGCCACTGTCACCTTCGACTCTGGAGCTTCTCCGTTGACACTAAAGCGTGAGATGCTATGAGACCTACATGGCATGCACAAGCCAGAGGTGTGGGGAAGTTAATTTCCTTTGGGGAAAACCTATGAAACGTGGGATCCAGAGGATAAATTCTTCTTCTTTCCTTTCCTATGGACTGTCTTGAGGAGCAGTACTTCTTAAGACTACTCTAAAGGCAATCCCACGATATTTAGCAATTGTGTTCACTTGCTACCATGCAGTGAACAGTTTAGTAAGGTACCTACATATGGACTCTCTTGTCTGAGTCACTTCCCTTTTCCAGGCTCTTGCTTCCCTAGTATTACATTTAAGGGTTAACTAGTGGCCTCAGGCTCTTTTTTCTGGGTAGTCCAGGCTAAGACAGGTGTATACTATTTGATCCCCATTTTATAGATGAGAAACTGAGGCAAAAAGAAGTGAAGCAACTCGCTGGGATCATATATCTAGGTCTTTCACACCTAGATCAGCCTGGCTTAAAATCTAGATCTTAATTAATGTATTTAATAGAAGACATGATCTAGTTGCTGAAAACAGTTGGGATGGTAAAAATCAATCCTGTAGATTAAGCAGTAATGGTTTGAATGGGGTGGTGTTTAACGGAGTCCTGAACTATAAATGATCAGGAGAGGTGATTTGATAATTACTCAGTGAGAGTAAGTAAAAGGCTGTTGCCTTCTAGCGTGGCATAGACCAGTGTAGGGACACTGTTCTGCCATTTGGAAATACCGTAGAAAAAGCATTCTATAAGAGATGTCTATGGTGTTTCTGGTAAGCAGGTTCAAAAAAAGGGAGGAGAGAGAGAGAGGAAGAAGTAGAAGGAAAAAAATTAAGACCTGGTCACAGGGTGAGGGAATTTCCCTAACAAGTTAGTAGGTGAAATATATGGCTAGGGTAAAAGTGATGAATAGTTAGGGTCTGAGCTGAAAGTTTACAAGGATTGGGATATAAACGACTATAGTAGGAGACCTGGGCAGGGAACAAAGGGTGCAGGGCATTAGCTGGGAAGGAGGTAGGTGTGGAGCAGATATCAGAAGCTGGACCTGCCATCATGCACAGAAATATGTGTATGATCCATGTATGTACGATCCATTGGCTCCTATCAAGAAAAGTCCATCTTCTTTCATTCACACAGGTCTATGGGCCAGATCACACACACAAAGTGAAGGAAAAACAGTTTCTTATCTTTCATCAAGTCTGCTATTGAACAAGAACATGCTGCTTCTAGCTTATCCCTTGACTAAACTATATTTATTTATATTCTGCAGTCTTAGAAAGAAAACCTCTCCTACCCTTGCAAACATGAGAGGCAGAAGTTCATTTTTATACAGCTAAACAGAGATTGCCTGTTTAAAGAAAAATCTGGAAATTGGTACTGGATGAAAAGAATATTCACTGACTTTAAAATATTGGAGATTATGCTCTGAAGTCCAATAGCTTATTTGTTCAATAGGCCCCATGGGTAGCCCTGAAAATAGAACCTGATGAAATCAAGGCGGGGAAGTAGAGAAGGTCAGTGACTTAAGAGTTAAGATAACAAAGAACCAGCTCTCAGATCTTCGTCCTTTCAGTAGAAGCAATTTTTTCAGAGGTATTAGCGTACCAATTTACACTATCTCAACTCTAAATTAATTAACACAGTGTAATGGATGAAAGAAATACTCCAGACACACCGACATCAGGCAATAGTATCCTAACTTACCTTTCAGATTCTACTTTTTCTCAGGTCCTCCAACAGTCTGTTCTCACCCCAAGACAAGCTCTCCTTTAAGGAGTCTAGTTATATTATCTTCTCCTTCAAGCCATACAATACCTCCCCTTTGCATTAGTAATAAAATTCAAAATTTTTATCCTGGTCCCAGTGACCTAGCTCTAGCCTGCCTCTCTCACCTCATATGGGTACCCTCCCCCTCACCTTCACCACATGTTCCAGTCATACTAGTGTTTGTTCTCTTGTTTAGTGCCTTAATCTTTTTACAGGAGGTTTCTAATCATTAGGGTTCAGCTGAAAGAATCCATCTCAGAGGGACCTTCTGCAACTTCCCAGATAGTAGTAGCCATTCCTGCTATGTCTTGTCCCTGTAACATCACTCTTTTGTTTCCTTTATGCTAATTTTCATTATCTGAAACTATCTTGCTTATATATTTATCTGTTCATTATCTGCTTCCTCATACTACATATAATCTTCAAAAGAGCAAGAACTAATTTTGCAGTGCTCACAGTTACACCTCTAGCACCTAGAAAAGGGCTTGGAAGACAGCCACACACACTCCTTTCCCCAAATAAAAATTGATGAGTGAGTAAATGAATGAATGCATGAAACTAAATATTCTTAGCGCATTTCACAGTCTATACAACTTCAGGATCCCTGCATATACATCCCCAAGATTACCACTTTTATTACAGGCTGTTCCAGAAGACTTCCTGACTATCAAAAAAAAAAAAAAATGCCATTTAGTACAAAATGACTACTAAGCCTTCCAAGAAACCAAGGACGTTCTAGTACCAATTGAATACTATTGCATGCTGGTCATTTATTTTATTTGTTTATTTGCCTTACAAATTCTGAGTTATTGTTGTGTATATGAAGCAAGGGTCACCAAATTACAGCCTCCAGGCCAAATTTGGCTCACCCCCTATTTTTATAAATACATTTTAATGGGAAAACAGCCACAGCCTTTTGTTTACATATTTTTATGGCTTCTCTTGTGTCAAAAAGGCAGAGCTGAGGAGCTGCGACAGAGATGGTATAACCCCCAAAGCTGAAAATATTTGCTGTCTGACCCTTTACAGAAAAAGTTTACTGATTCTTGATATACAGCAATATGTACTCAAAAATAGAAACTGTGTGAGAAAAAGAGCTGCAAAATGTCAGGGGGAGAAATGAGAGCATTGACTGGTGTTTTCTTTGGGTAAAATCCAGGAAATTTGATAGTGACCAAATTAGAAGTGTATCCTCAAAATGGTTTTGGATTAGAGCGTGAGAGAGAAGACTACATTTCAGTGGTTAGCTCAGAAATCAGAAGTTTACTGGCTGAAGACCAACCTTTCTTTCAGGCTAGTTCTGTATTCTCTTGCTAAGAGACACTTAGTTCCCTTCCATTTCACACTGGGCCCCCTCTTCCTACCTTTGTTTGCATCTGTTCTCTGTGCAATCCGGAATGTAGGGAACACTGCCATCTTCATGATGAATCGTTTCCTCCATTGAATTGCAATTACAGGTTTTAATCAGTTCATTATTTCACCTAGTTTTTGGGTCCTGACAGTTATGCTATGGAAACTAATTGAATTGGCTTTACCTCAAGGCATTCCCACAAGAAGATTTTTACCTTGCCATTTGGGAATTTTTTGGCTGTTTGACCAAATTAGCCCTAATTGCTCTGTAACCTAAAAAAAAAAAAATCTTATGTTTATATTTTTCCTTTGAAAGATTTTACATTCTATTCCTGCTCTGAACACAGTGCTCTTTATATAAAAAGACAAATCACTGGCCTGTAAGTTAGTGTGTTATATACCAAGCTTCTTATAGAAGAGGCTATAGAGTGTTTGTATAATATACCCTTATTCTTTTTCATAGCCCTCCTTTAGAATAATTTTTTTAAAGTGTGGAAAGGCTGGACATTAGATTACATTTTTTCAACCATTTCGTATTTCTGCTGCTGCAAGTTCTAGTCTATGGAAAATATATGGCCCAGGAATAACGTTTGACTGTCTGTCCGTGGTGACATTATCTTAGCAAGTTCACCATGATCTAAGGCTGGGTTCTCAGATTTTGGGGTGCCTCACTGGCTTACATCAAATTGACAAAGTTTCATCTGATAAAGAAATCAAAATGTCAGTTGATAATATCATGATGAGAATACAGCAGCCAGGCATGGTAGCTCATGCCTGTAATCCCAGCACTTTGAGAGGCCGAGGCAGAAAGACTGCTTGAGCCCGGGAGTTTGAGACCAGCCAGGGCAACATAGTGAGACCTCATCCCTACAAAAAAAAATTTAAAAAAATAGTTGGACATGGTGGTGCATGCCTGTGGTCCCAGCTACTCGGGAGGCTGAGGTGGGAGCATTGCTTGGACCCTGGAGTTCAAGTGTTCAATGAGCTAGAGCTATGGCCACTGCACTCCACCCCGGGCAACAGAATGAGATCCTGTAAAAAAAAAAAAAAAAAAAAAAAAAGAAAGAAATGTAGCAGCAGAGGAGACTAGAATGATTTAATCTCCTTGGTCAGCACGTTCTCTTCTTCCAGGAGAACCTACACATATGAGAAGCCATATTATAATCCAAAGGTTGTTTGGTGAGTGTAGAATGCAAGCAGAGAGAGGAGAAATACTGGTTAGAAGATTACATTGTTGACAGTAAATGAACACCCAGCTGCATTCATCTCTCATTTAGGAGTTGCAACATCAAAAGACAAGAAAACCAAATTCTGGGACAGAGCAACTTGTTCTCTGAAAAGCCATGAATGAGGACTTCCAATATTGGCCTCTACTCTGCTGATTTTCTACATACATTCTAGTGAAAAAGTCTTGCTTTAGTAATCGTCAGACAAGCAACTATTTCATCAAATCCTATTCTTACTGCTCTCTGCCATAGGGGCCCTCATCCTCTGAAGGTGATGTCTGCATATTTCTTATTGGATCCATTGCATGTTAAATTTATCAGTTTGATTCACAAAGCTCTGGAGTTTCTCTTGCTGTCTCTATTTGCTGTCCATATGTAGCAGGGTTTCTCAGCTTTCGCACTACTGATATTTTAGGTGGGATAATATTCTGTTATTAGGGATTATGTAGGATGTTTAGCAGTATCCCTGGCCTCTTCCCCTTATATGTCAGTTGCAGACTCCCCACCCACCATCCCTTAGCAGATATGACAACTAAATATGACAACTAAATATTGCCAAACGTCTCCTGAGTACCAAAATTGCCTCCTGTCAAGGAATTCTGGCATATAGGATAGATAGGTGAAAAGAAGAGAGGATTCCTTCTAATTCCTTTCAGGGATCTAGGGCAAAAACCATTCAACCCAGTCAAGCTGGGTTCCAGCTTCATATCATTTAACTCCTCTACTTTTATTCCTCTGAGATTCCCCTTACCATAACCACGATGTTTATACAAATCAAATCCTAACTCAGACTTCTATGAATTTTTTATGCATATCTACCTTTCCAGGCAAGTCACAACTTTCTTATATCTGATTGGGCAGAAGGTTTATAGTATCTCAGTAAATAATTTTCCTCAGTTACATGGAGCATCATATTTTTATTGGGAGAGAAACATATTTCAAAATTTGAGGTATGCACAGTATCTGTCAATACCCATGACTGGCTTCAATTCTGAAATCTAATTAATGTGAATTCTAAATTCCTTGGGTTCATCAAATCTTTGCGTTTGTCAACATAGGGTACAGAATTTTGGTTGTTGTTTTCTTCTCTCTCTTAACACTTTAACTAGAGTTAAGCAGTTTTCATTTCATCAAGAGGGCAAGTCACAGACAAATAAATCTCTCTTCAGTGGTAGAGGTAACATTTTAGTAAGTTGAGAGATGGAGTATTCTTATTGCTCCAAGATGACACTGTGTGGAAATTGGACCAAGCTTAAGCTCCCAAAAGATGCAACCCAGGATGCTCTGTCCAAATGCATGTTCTATTCTTTTTATTTTACTTTATTTTATTTGGAGACAGAGTCTCACTCTGTTGCCCAGACTGGAGTGCAATGGCATGATCTCGACTCACTGCAACCTCCGCCTCCGTGGTTCAAGCGATTTCTCCTGCCTCACCTCCCGAGTAGCTGGGATTACAGGCGTGTACTACCATGCCAAGCTAATTTTGTATTTTTAGTACAGACGGGGTTTCACCATGTTAGCCAGGCTCAAACTCCCGACCTCAGGTGATCCACCCACCTCAGCCTCCCAAAGTGCTGGGATTACAGACGTGAGCCACCACACCCGTCGCAAATGCATGTTCTATTCTTAGACAGGTATATTATTTTATTCTCATCTTCTTTTTATCTCTTGCTTCCTCTTTTCCTCCAACATGTTTGAATTAACTATGCCCCAGTTTTTGTGTTTCCCTAGGTCATGTCCCAACCATGCTATTTCTCCAGAACTTAAACAGAAAGCTTCTTCAATGGAAGGTGCACAATCTTTCTACTGCAACTCACAAACAACAGTCAAAAGCCCTATGCCAAAAAAAGTTATCTATGAAAAATGAGACTACAAGATTACTTTTTTTCAGTAATAATTTTGAAATTTCTTCCCTACCATCAGAAGGTTCTAGGACAAGCCCAGCGATGCGTACACTTGGAGAGAATAGAGCAGCAAGGATGAATGACAGTATTTTTCCACACTCAGCCCCTACAGGCAGCTCAGCATTTCTTTGGCAGCTCCCCTTTAACTAGAAGAAAGATGGCAGTTGACCAAACAGATAAAATACAAGTGTTGCTGAGACCACCCAGGCATGTATCATTCATTTTGAATTGACTGGATCTTTTCCAGAGGGATTTTGTTAGCAAAGAAGAGAGAGGAGATGGAGTATAAGGGGTCAGGGGCAGTGAGGGAAAATGATGAAATAGGTGCACAATTCTATTTGGAAAAATGTATAGACACATGCCAAATACAGGTAAGAATTGCAGAAAATATTTTGCTGTGATGTTAGTCTCGAAAGACCTATGAATGTTTTTTAATTTATTTTTTAATTTACTTTTAATCAATCTGTCTTCAAAATTTGGCATTCCCAACACACATCTCACGATTTGAGCTCTAGAGTCAGAAAAGTTGGCTGGGCGCAGTGGCTCGTGCCTATAATCCCAGCACTTTTGGAGGCCGAGGTGGGTGAATCATCTGAGGTCGGGAGTTTGAGACCAGCCTGACCAACATGGAAAAAACCCTGTCTCTACTAAAAACACAAAAATTATCTGGGTGTGGTGGTGCATGCCCGTAATCCCATCTACTTGGGAGGCTGACGCAGGAGAATCGCTTGAACCAGAGAGGCGGAGGTTGTGGTGAGCCAAGATGGCACCATTGCACTCCAGCCTGGGCAACAAGAGTGAAACTCCATCTCAAAAAATAAAAATAAAAATAGAGTCAGACAAATCAGATTTAAATACCAGCTCTACCACTTATTAAATATGGGACCTGAACAAGTTATTTAAGAATTCTCAGACTACATTTCTTCATCTGTAAAGTGGAATAAACCAATTAACAGAGTCTGGCTCATATTAGACAATGAAGACAAGGCACATTAAGGTGGATGGATGGATGAGTATGTGGGTGGTAGAAGATTCTGAAACTCTGGATCTTGCAGAAGAAAAAAATACAATCTAAATTCTTACCTAGAGGAAACTGCTTTGCTTTGCTAGTTCTCATTGAGAGTGTGAAAGATTTAAGTGTTCATTCTTCAGGAAGGGCATGAGTCCTCAGCCATCGATATTAAAAAAAAAAAAAAAGTGCAACTTCACCTGCCTTGAGTGTTTTTGCTTTTAAGAACTGGAAAGCTTTTATTGAAATGGTGGTATAGGAATCACTGAAAACCTTTATACTGGACTCTGAGCTCCTCAGATAGATCAATTTCACTCTAATAAATCAAACCTTTGAAACCTGCTCTGTGATATTGCAGTCATCTCTGCCTGAGCTCTGTGGCAGGCAGAGTCTGGCCCAGCCATGGGGCTGGTCTTCCATTTCTATTTCAGTGTAATTAAGAGATTTTCTTTCTTTGAATTAGAAACTGGCTGGCAGGAAAAATGGTATGGGAACATTCCACAGGGTTCTCTGGAGAAACAGGCAATCTAACCATTGATGAAGAGGACATGGGCTCATGCTAATATAAAGAAATGCTCCTCTCTGCAGCAGGAAAGTGAGGAGTATGCTTCATGCTGGTGGGCTGATTATTTGGCTCATTCCAATTAGTACTGAATCCAAATGGAATAATGTATTTTTCCTTAATTCTTTCAATTCTCCAAATGCTCTCTGGGAGAACACATTCTTTCTCTCCAACTGGAAGCAGAGGATTCAGCTCTGCTATGAGGCCTGGTGATTAGACCTGTTGGATTAGTGATGCCTGCAATTCAGTCAGAGGTATAGTCTTCCTAATTGTCTTTAGCGGGGTTACACTCCCTCCCCTTTGCTTCCTTAATGATCTCATTAGACAATTCAATCTGGAAAATGCTTGCAACTCCTCCAGCCTATGTAATTGCACCCAAGGTGGGGTTTTAGGGCTCCTTCAAACAGGTCAGATATCATACTTTGGGACATTCAAGGTAGATTTGGGGGCCGTCTACCAAGCACTTTGAGTGAGTGGCTCTCACTCAAAACTACAGATGGGTAAATAATGATAGCATCCTTAATGGGCAACAACAGAAAAAGCAAGTTGCTTAAAGGTCATGCATCTGCATTTACCACAGCCTGATGCTTCTCACAAGGATCTTCAAAGGATGAGCACATTGGATCAGCAAGACTTCACTCAGCTTTGAGGGCCCTGCTGTAGAGAGAGTCATGGATGTTCCAGCAGCAAGAATAGTATAGGTTTCATGCAGGCAACACTGAAGCCAGGACTTTTTTTTTTTCTTTTTTAAAAAATAATTCACAAATGGTGAAAGGTCTGGATGTTAAGGCAAGAAGGGTAAGGGTGGGTGTATGAAAAAGAGATAGGGGTTGGATTTTAACATAACCTTTGGGGTAAGGCTATTTAATGAGCATTTAATACTGGTAGGTTAACCAAATCAAGACCCCGTTTTTTTTTGTTTGTATGTTTGGTCCTTTTTATGAAGTTATCCAGAAGGAGGTACTGCAAACATTGTCCCCCAGGCAGGGAAATAAGGCAACGCCGAATGATTTCTCCTTTCAACCTTAATTACATGTCTGCTTGAATTAAAGACTTGTAACTGAATTTGATGGCTAGACCTTGACCTTCAAGAATCATATACTGAAGATTTTTTTTAGCTTTATTGAGGTATAGTTCACATACTATATAAATTTCCATCCAAGGTAAGCGTAAGGCTCAATGATTTTTAGCAAATGTATGTAATGAAATCATCACCAGAATCCAGTTTTAGAATACAGTATTATCATCATCCCTATTTTCCTTGTGTCCGCCAGGAGTTAATCCTTCCACCCTCCTCTTAGTCCCAGCCCAGACAACTACTAATCTTTACTTTCTTACAGATTTTCTTTTCTGGAAGTTTTATATAAATAGTGTCATATAATATGTAGTCTTCTGGCTTCCTTCACATGGCATAAGGTTTTGGAGATTCATCTATCTTATAGCATTTATCAGTAGCTGGTTCCTATTTCATGGCTGAAAAGTGTTCTGTTGTATGGGTATACCATATTTTGTTTATCCATGCACCAGTTTATACAAATTGGGATTGTTTACAACTTGGGGATATTATAAATAATGCTGCCGTGAACACTCACATACTAATCATTGTGTGGACATGTTTCAGTTTTACTAGCAGTGAAATTGTTGGGTTGTATGGTAAGATACGTTTCACTTTTAAGTAACTGCCAAACGTCTTTAAGTGGCTGTACCTTTTACAATCTCATAAGCAGTGAATGAGGGTTCCAGTTTTCCTACATCCTTGTCAACAATTGTCATTGTCTATCTTTACTATAGCTATTCTAGTGAGTTGTATAGTGGTATCACCTTGTGGTTTTCATTTGCATTTCCTTAACAACTAAAGATATTGAGCATCTTTTCTTATGCCTGTTAGCCATTCATGTATTTCTTTGGTGAAATCCCTCTCCGAATATTTGGCCCATTTCTTAATTAGGATTTTTGTCTACCTATTAATGAGTTGTGAGAATTCTTTATATATTTGGATACAAATTTTTTGTCAGATGCATAATTTTCAAATATTGTCTCCCAGTCTGTGGCTTGCATTTTATTTTCTTTATGGTATTTTTGAAGTACAAACATGTTTAATTTTGATGGCATCCAAAATGACAATTTTAATCTTATATATCATGCTTTTGGTATTGTAGTTAAGAAATTTTTGCTTGCCCAAAGTAATGAAAATTTTGTCCTATATTTCCATCTGAGTTTGATAGTTTTTGCTCTTATGTTCTATGAGTCAATTTATATGTATCGTATGAGGTAAGAGTGTAAGTTAATTTTTGTTTATTTATTTTACATGTGGATATCTAATGGCTTTAGTATCATTTATTGGTTAGCTTTTTTCCCATTGAATTATACTTTTGTCAAAAATCAGTTAAGCATATATGTAAGAATTTATTCTAATCTTTGATTGGTCTACACTTTTATGCAGTGCTTGCTGTCTTAATTACTGTAGATTTATAGTATTAAAATCAAAGTCCTCCAAATTTTTTATTCATAATAATTTTAGCTATTCTTGGTAATTTTCATTTCAATGTACATTTTAAAATCTATTTGTCAGCTTCTACAAAAGGTCTGTTGAGATTATGATATATATCACTTCGAATGTATAAATCAGTTTGAGGAAAATTGTCATCTTAATATTGAATTTTTTAATACATGAATAAGGGTGGTTAATTTTGTTAAATCCTTTTTATAGGCAGTGATTGAGATGACTGTACTCTCTTTGTCCTTTATACTATGCACTGTACACAATACAGTGTACACTCTATTGTTTACCGTATGAACTGAGTTGTGAATTTTAAACCAACCTTGCATTCTTAGGATAAATCTCACTTAGTCATGATGTACAATCCTTTTTTTAATGCTTTGCCCAATTTGGTTTGCTAATAATATGTGTTTATACTCATGAAGGATATTGATCTGTATTTTACTTTATTCTTTTGATCTGGCATTGTTAGCACAGTGATACTGGCCCCATATATTGAGAAATGTATTCTCCATCTCAATTATCTGAAAGAGTTGGTGAAAGATTAGTATTATTTCATCTTTTTTGATAGAGCACCAGTGAAGCCATCTGCGCCCAGGGTTTTCTTGATAAAAGAATACCTATTTACTAACTTAATTTCTTTACTTGTTATAGATATATTTGTATTTTCTATTTCTTCATGAATCCATTTTGGTAAATTGTGTTTGGTAAATCTGGTAAATATTTACCCATTGTTCATTCTCTCAATCCTCTCTCATAAATATGTATATCTTTTCTCCCAAACCTGCTAAATATGTATGACTCTATTGTGTGACACAGACCCAGTGAAGCATAAAAGCCAACTTACCTTCTTCCCTCTTGAAAGAAAGAGCACCTTCGACACATGCCTGAGACTGTCTCCTTCAGTTTGCAAACTGATATTGCCAATAAAACTCTCTTTTCTATTTAGCCAGCCTGGTAGTCTTTTGGATGACAATTACACATATACTTAGATTTTCTTTTCCTTTTTGTCTCTTCATGTGGATTTTTACCATCTGGTGTTATTTCTCTTCAACTTAAATGACTCTTCAGTATTTCCTGTATGACATCTCAGCTAGAAAAGCACTCTCTCAAGCTTTGATTGTCTGGCAATGTCTTGTTTTCATTTTTGAAGGATAGTGTTCCTGGATAGTTGACAGTTTTTTTGTGTGATCGTTTTGCTTTCATTGCTCCGAGCATGTCATTTCACTGTTTTGACTGCTATTGTTTCTGATAAGAAGTCTGCCATTAATTTTATATTCTTTTTATCTGTACATAAGGAGAAATTCTACTTGTGTTTGGCAGTGAACATTTTGGTTACAATGTGTCTATCTTACTTAGAATTTGAGTTCCATTGTCTTACAGATTACTACTTTTAATCAAATTTGGGTAGTTTTTTTTTGTTGTTCTTTGTTTGTTTGTTTTGAGACGGAGTCTCCCTCTGTCACCCAGGCTGGAGTGCAGTGGCGCCATCTTGGCTCACTGCAACCTCTGCCTCCCGGGTTCAAGCAGTTCTCCTGATTCAGCCTCCTGAGTAGCTGGGTCCACACGTGTGCGCCATCATACCTGGCAAATTTTTGTATTTTTAGTAGAGACGAGGTTTCACTGTGTTGGCCAGGCTGGTCTCGAACTCCTGACCTCAAGTGATCCACCCGCCTCGGCCTCCCAAAGTGCTGGGATTGCAGGCGTGAGCCACCACACCCAGCCAAATTTGGGTAATTTGTATCCATTACTTTTTCATATTCTTTTTCTGGCCTTTCTTCTTCCTCCTTTATCTGAGTCTTCTAAAATGTATGTATTGACACCCTTTAAGTTTCCATTTTTTATCTGTTATTACTTTTTATTCTCTGTTCTTCAGATTAAATAATTTCTATTGATCTATCTTTAAATTTTCTGATTATGTCTTCTAACATTTTAATTCTACTATTGAGTTCCTTTAATAACATTTTATTTTAGTTATTATGTTCTTCCACTCCAGAATTTTTATGTGGTTCTTTTCATAATTTCTATTGCTTCATTGAAATTAATCATATTTCTCTTTATTTAAGCATAGTGTTGTTTAGTCCTTTGAACATATTTATAATGGCTACTTTGAAGTCTTTTTCTGCTGAGTTCAATCTATAGGCCCACTCAAAGACAGTTTCTAATCACTGCTTGTTCTTTCACTTTTGAATAAGGGTCATACTTTCTTCTTTCTTTGTATCAGAATTCTTACTGAAAGCTGGAAAATTGTAGATAATGCATTGTGCTAACCCTGAATTCTGATATGCCTTCTCTGCCCAATGATATTTGGTTTTGCTGCTTTTGTTTTGTTTTTTGGTAACTTGCTTTGACTAAGTCTTTGTCATCTGTTTCCCCTTCATAGGTGGCTGCTGTTGTTTCTACTCAAGTTTTGAAAATTTTTGTTTTTGTTTTATTCATGGATTTTTAAAGGCCACGCAGTTATGCATAGCTTAGTAATTAAACAATGATGTTTGAGAGGTTGCACTCAACCTCTCAATCTAACAAGTCTCTACCCTCTGCCAACGGATCTGTGTATGTGTTGGGGAGCACAGTCAGACCCATCCATCTTTTAAGCTGGCTCCAGATTTTATTTTTTGCACGTCCTCTTGCACACGTATGCAGACTTGGAGTCAGACAGTGATGTGTGGATAACTTAGATTATCTTAAGTCTACCTTAAATGTGTGCACAGCTTTCCAGTCAGCTCAGGACTGGTAGAAAGCTTACCGAGGCCCCTTCCAGCTGTCTTGCCTCCCAGGTTTCCTTGTTCAGTTTCTGGCTGGTCTGCTGCTTTATTGCTTGATCACACTAGGTCCTCACCTCAGGCTTGCAGAGAGACTGGTCATTCATTCATTCCTTCGTGACAGAGATACCTATAAACACGGACAATGCTGCTTAGTGTGGGGTGTTTTTTTCCTGCTTGCTATAAATCAGGTCAATCCTCTTTTTCAGTGAAGCTTCTGTTTTTCACAGACTGGACCCACTCTGTTAGAACTATTATGTCAATTGAGTGGGGGACAGGAAGTGGGAGCTACCCACAGCAAGAATGCCAGACTTCCCATTTTCCCACCAGAAGTTCAGTATTGTTTTAAATAACTGCTCCTCGACTTTGTGTATGCATTTGGTTGATTTCCAAAGCCTGAAAATGGTTTTTATTTTTTAGTTTTTACTTTTTTCTAATTTTGTAGCTGATTTTGAAGGAGAGAATTTGCTGAGCTAAAAACTGTGCCATATTAGAATCCCTGTTTCAATAAATTATTTTGGAAAGAAGGAATAGGTGAAAGAATTAATGAGAATGTAACTATCATACTTTCCTCATTAATTAGACATGAAATTCTCTGCTCATTTCTGTTATATGGTATCACATCCCTTCATCATCTTGATCCATATCTTTGGTTACTTATACCCCTTTATAATACATGGTCCCAAGAACTAAACATAATACTTCAAGTATGGTCGCAGTCATTCAAGCAGTTGTAACTTATCTCTGTAGAATGGGTTACCTAAGACTATATCATCCTTTTTCCAATAGGCAGCAATGAGAGTTGAGCCTTTTAATAGATTTTGTTTGGGCTCTGGCTGATGATCCATGGTAGAAAAACAGTGAGACAAAGCATTAGACTAAATTTCCATGGAAGAAATTTGGAATTAATAGCACAAATATATTTATCTTTAAACTTTTTTATGGTAGCAATATACATAGGGGAAAAGGAGATTGTGATAATATCAATAATAGCCAATATTTCTCGAGTACTTTCCATGCTCCAGATACAATTTTAGGTGCTTTACAAATTACCACCCCTTTTATCTTGGCAACCCTACTGATGAGGAAACTGAAATCAACTGTAGTAAAGCAACCTGCCTAAAATAACAGAGCTATTAAGTGGCCAAACTGGAGTTTGAGCAGGGATCCTCTGGATCCAATGCTCAGTGTTGATTGAATATGCAGGGCTACTCACTGTCTAGTGAGGAGAGCTTTCTCATTGAAAGCTAATCTGAGCATGCCTTGCTTATCCATCGCCAGTTCTGAAGGAGATTGAGAAAAGATTGGTGCTGTAAACTTCTAAATGATTCCAATCTACAGCACATTTCAGTGTTGCATGGTTTCAGTTTATGCAGCTTTCTCTGCTTTGCCTCAGCAAATTGCAAGTCCCTCGGAAGAGTCCCTAAGAAGCAGTTCCTCTGGCTGCTGAAGCGGCCAGGCTGCTATGCACGCTGGGATCACATTCGGCATAGTAAGTAGCCATTCCTTCTACTAGAAGACCTGCACACAAATCAGCATGGGGCTAAATAATTCAAATCAGAATTACTAGCAGCTATTGAATCTGAGGGCATTTGCTAAGTAGAACAAAGAGCTATGAAAATAAGGTGATGGCTTTCTTTCTTTCTTTCTTTTTTTTTTTTTTTGGCTGATCTTATGCCAATCACAAGGAAAATATCAGAATTGCAAATCATGTGAGAATAAAATTGCCCAAATCCTGATGGACCTTATTATGGATAAAAGTGGAATTATATCTAGAATAGAGAGAGTAGCAGCTCTGGCCAGTTTCTTTCACAGGCTCCAGAAGTGACAGGCATGGCACAGATTATGCCAGGCTTAGTATCTGTGCTCCGCAGGGGCGATTCCCATTAGCTTCTGTGCCCAGATCCTCATCCTAGGCAGCGTGTGCTGGGTAGCATTCAGGACAGCAAGGTTCTCCTGCCTCAGCAACACTGTGCTTGCTTTAGAAACAGAGTGAGTAAGGCCTCTGTCGACATCACGCTTTAATTTTAATGAGAAGTCATAGAAGGAGCTGGTCTTTTTGGTCTTTTACAATTTGGAAAATAAGAAAAAAATTGTTAATCTTTCCATTCCTATGCTGTTCAGTCATTTTGGCCTAGGAACTTTAATGCTATTGCTTTGTAGTTTCCATTGCATAAAGGTAGTCACCTATGTGCTGGTGTGTTGCTCAATCTCCCTCAACCCAATCGCATTCAATGGAAATGATAAGAGAACTCTGTTCAGCTGTTTCCCATGTGTAAAACACCTATTTAGTGGAGCTGAAATGTACTGATAACTGGGCTCAAAAGGGACAGTCATTTTCAAGGCTTGATAAGTAGCAAGATGTCACATTCTTGCTGCCTTAGGCTATGGACATTACTTATTCATTTCTTCATCCATTATTTTATTAAAAAGTGTCTGTACATGGCATGGATTAAATGTTGGAGAAATTACCAATATGCATTGCTTTATTTGACTTCCCAGTCTTATCTCTGCTCCTGCCCCCTTCCTGTTTTTCACACATTTCCTATAGCACCGACTACATGCCATTTTATAAACAGATCTTTGCCAAAGAACCAAGTACCCAATCGTCCTCACACCATGGGTGCCCCACTGCGCCCACATTGCCTGTCTTTGTTTTGTTTGCTCCTGTTCCAGATAATTCTTTCTGCATCAAAACCCATCTTCCTCCCACCCTCATTTCCTCTGGGCTCTGCCAAACATTCTTATTAACACAGAGAATCATTATTGATAGGGTTACCTAAATTAACCTTGACCATTTCCTTTAACTATAAAATGGGAGTGATAAGAATACCTGTATGATATATTGTTGTATGGCTTAAATGAGATAATAGAAATGCTGAAAAAAATACTTGTCATATAGCAAGTATTTACTTACTATGCTGCATATCATGTAATCATTCCAAAAGCTAAAAAACAAAACAAAACAAAATGAAAAGATAGTTTCCTTCTGGTCAACATTGATAGTAATAGGTAATATTTATATTACTTAGATACTGTGTGAAGCATAATATTTTATTAATTATTGCCATGCCCATTTTATTGATAAAGAAACTGGAGTATAGGAAATCAATAATAATTTTCTGCCATCACTTCTATAATGCATTTGGAGAGGCTTTTTGGTCAATTATTGAAGGGACTGGATTTATAAGTTGCTTTAGACCTTCTGATTAAGGGTGAGTGATGTCACCAATCACAGCAATGGAAAGATCACTTGCTCTTATCCCTTCTAAGTGCTTTCCTGATAGCGTCACCCTCATCTACTATTTTGGGAAAGAGGGCAAGAAGTGGAAGAAAGGAGTGCTGCATATAAAGCCCTGGGAGAAAATTGAAAGCTGGACCTATGGGTTCTCTGATTCCTGAGACTATAAATCTCTAGGATTTGGGGCAGGAACTGATTCTAGCTCAAAACCAAGTCTACTAGAACTGGCTCACTCTGCCCACCTAACCCTGTAGGAGGGGGCTTTAAACAGTTTTGATGGGGGCAAACAGTGAGGACAGAAAGGTCCATCACCTGGTCAAGAACACAGCATCATTGCTCTTCCCTGGGCATTGAGAACAGGAGGTCTGTTTGAAATGGTAAGATATATATCAAACCCATTCAGTGGGCACAACTTTCTGTATCCCCAGAATTTCCTGAAAACATCTTTATTATAAGAGCAAGTTTTTCCAATAAAATCTGCAAAGATTAGTTCTATCTGACTCATGAAACCCGCAAATTCTTCCATCCTCAGAGTCTCTAGAGTGGTAACTAGCTTGATAAATAAAGAATCTGGGCCTAGGCATGGGCAGTAGCAGGAAAGAAAGGCAGGGCATTAACTTGAACCTGGATGGGGAAGGCATGGGGATGGTGAGCAGTGGGGTCCCTGAGAAGTGTGCACACATGAAGGATGCAGGAGATATTCTCCACGAGTTGCTGGAATGGCCAACAGAGATTTGAATTTCATATGGAAAGAGGGAGGTAGTGGGAAGTTCAGACTCATTGTGGTGAATGGTTTTCCTGCAGCAGTGGCAGGTTTTTATTTTTTATTTTTTATTGTTTAGTTGTAAAAAGACGACTGCATCTGTTTTGCTCACCATTGTCATGGCAGCTACTGCAGGGGAACTACTACATAAACACTGTTGGATGGATGAATGGATGGTCCATGTATTCATCCGTATTCACACTGCTATAAATATACTACCCGACACTGAGTAATTTATAAAGGAAAGAGGTTTAATTGGCTCACAGTTCCGCATGGCTGGAGAGGCCTCAGGAAACTTACAATCATGGTGGAAGGGGAAGCAGGCACCTTCTTCACAAGGGGCAGGAGAGAAAGAAGTGCAAGCAGAGAAGATGCCAGACACTTATAAAACCATCAGGTCCTGTGAGAACTCACTCACTATTGTGAGAACAGCATGGGGGAAACTGCTCCCACGATCCAAACACCTCCCTCTCTCCACACACTGAGAGTACATGTCCCTCCTTCGACACATGTGGATTACAATTGGAGATTATATTTGGGTGGGGACACAGAGCCAAACCATATCAGTCCATTTCCTGAGAGTCTCCTAAATCACTTTACGACATCCCCTGCTATCTGGAAACTCTATTCTGATCCACCTGCAAGCCCCCAGACACTATATAGATTATGTGACTTAACACTGAAGCTGATCTCCCAATGCCTCTTTTTGCAAGGTACATTATCTTCATTTAAAAATATCCTTCCTACATTCCTTGAGGGGTTCTAAATGCCCCAGGGCTTTTTTCACTGAGCAGGCCTATGGCTGGTTACCCCAGGTCAACATGTAATGGAGGGCTCAACAAGCCATCCTGTGAACCTCTTTCCTGGAAGCAGGGAAGAGGAATGAGGCAGGCTGCTATGGAGTAGATCCCTTATCTCCTACCTAGAAGGCATCTTGCCTATTGCAAAGGTTTGAAGCAGTGGCTCTCAGGCCTGGTTGCATATTAGAATCAACTGGGGAACTTTTAAAGTGCACAGACTTCACCCTGGACCATTTAAATCAGAATCTCTGGGCACGAGGCTCAGGCTTCGTTGTTTTTAAAGCTTCCCAGGTGAATCATTTGTGGTCAGAGTTGAAAGCCAATGAGTTTTTGTTCTTCAACTCTGCTGCAATTAGAATCACATGGGAAAGTTCCAAAAAAAATCTCAAAGCCCAGGCCACACCCCATGCCAATTAAATCACAATATCTGGGGTGGGGCCAAGGCATCAGAATTCTGACAACTCCCCAGATGACCAGTCAAGTTTTAGAATAAGTAGTTTAGGAGAAAACAAAGATTTATTTCTCCTTGGTATGCCAAATCACTGTTATTTGCTAGTTGAATGCCAATTAAAAGCACTGATTTAGACCTTTGACCAAAACAATCAAAATAGTTTCACACGTCTAATGCTCATACAAGATCCACAAATAAGCATTAGCAATTAAGCAAGCAGTAGAGAGCTAATTACCTTATTTTTTATATCTCGATTTCTAGTCATCAGAAATAAATAAAATTAGCTATTATTGCTTTAGTGCTAGATCCTCACAGCAATCTTAGGAAGTAGAGAATATTATTCCAATTCTACAGATGAAGAAATTGATCTTTAAAGAAATTAAAGAACTTACCCAATGTTGCCCAGGGCAGAAGAGCTGGAATCAGGATCTGCACTACAGAATAATGACACCAAAGCCCGGGCTCTACTTACTACACTTGGCTGCCTTTATTTTTCAGAGCTGTATTGAAATACAATTTACATACCGTAACACTCAACTTTTTAAAGCATGTAATGATTTCTAAAAAATTTACCGACTTGTGCAGCCATCGCTACATCTAGTTTTAAAACATTTGTCACTCTCAAAAGATCGCTTGTGCCCATTTGACTGGCTTTTAAAGAACATCGGACTAAAAGTCTGAAAACCTGGGTTTTACTCCCAACCCTGTCATTTACACAGTACTATGACCTTGAAGAATTCCTTAACCTTACTGGGTCTCCGTGTTTTTTTAATTAGTCACTTAGAGATAATAATTTCTGCCAGATGATAAAGGTCAAAGAAAATATTGCATAGGGAAATGCTCGATACCCAAGAGCCGTAAAAGTGGAAAGGACAGCAATTTTTTTTTAAATATGCAGAAAGTCATTTTGCACCTTCCAAGTACCTTGGGTCTGAAATGGCACTGAGAGAGTTGCAATAACACAAATCTAGCTGTTTCTCCCTCCTCTGCATTTTCCCTCTCTACCAACTCTGTCATCCCATTCACGGTGTCTCACTTACACTCCTTTGGGAGGTCAAAATTTGCACTAGCCATCTTAGTTGATGGGGGTGTACATCCCTTTGTATCACTGGAGTGGTAATGGACATGTACAGGCCAGCGTAACTCAGAGCTCTGCTTGGGTTCTTAGGGGCTTAGCTGTCCCTGGCAGAAGCCTGATATGCCCATATGCTCCTGTAATGACTAGCTGTCAGGGAGATGCATGGTGTCCTTTCAGCAGAAGAACACAAACAGATGAGGTGAACTGTGGTATTTCTCTGGCTCCTTAATTAGCACTCTGATGGGTGACAGGAGGCCCAACTGGATGTGTTCCATCAGGGCTGCAGGGGAGTCAAGCCAAAGGATTATGATGTTCATCTATGTCCCAAATAAACAGTCAATTTGGAGCCAGTGTTACATGCACACAACCTGATTTTATTTCCATTTTTTCATCCTTTGCCTGAGCCAGTTTTCTAACTTTTGGTAGTGGAGACTAGAAACATTCTAAGGGTGTATCTTCTTCAGCCTTATAATTTATTCTAGCAAAGGCCATTGATAAATGTTCACTGAAATATAAATAGAGCTTGACTCTTCATGCAATTGCTTACCTGTTCCTCTTTCTCCATCTTGCAGTATCTGGGTCTTATCTCCTGTATAGAAATTCTCAGACTTTCCGCCTAGCAGCTCAAAGACCATCACTGATTTTTGATGATTCGCATGAAAAACATTACATAGTTGCAATTCGTTCCCCTCAACTGCCCTCGATCTCCATCACTGCTTTTTGATGACTTCAGTGATATCTTATATAGTTGTGATTTGCTACACCCCCCCACTGGTCCTAGTTTAGTGGCCCATCTGGCATGCAGAGGAGATGAGAAACTTGTCTTCTGCTCAAAGGTTAAGGGCACGCAGAGACAGGGAAATATGGGGAAGAAGGACCTGTGATCTTATTGTGATGCTGTTGTTACTGCATCATTTTTACCAGTTTTCCCAATAAAGGGTCAAGGTCTAAGTCTTAAATTCAATAGCATAAATTATATATATTCAGTGGAAGATTCCACACTGATATTTAAAGTTCGTTTCCACGATGTTATTGGGCAGCTATTATGTGTGAAACACAGGGGGAGGGGGTAGACACTGAAGAATACACAAATCTGATAAACAAAAAGCTCAAGTAGCTTAGTATAAAGCCAAGGAGAGCCAGAGCACCATATGTTTATGAATATAATGGCATTTCTAAGAGTGCCTCTTGAGTTCCAGGGCTTGAATGATATGTGTGGGTCTTCCTCATAGATTTGGGGTTAAGCAATCCAGCTATTTCTCACTGTCCCAGTAGATCTCTTGCTGAATCACTGGAACATGGCATCCACGTGGGAGAAGTGGTGCTTCCTCCTCCTATCAGGCAGATTTCAGTATCCCCAGCCACAATAAGAAGCAGGAACAGACAGCTGCACAGGGAAAGGCAATGGTGATATAAATACATGTTTAATTGCACATCAATTACAATTAGTTACTAGGCTGCATTTATTTAAATGCAGTGTAATTAGAGCAAAAACCTTGATTTAATCATAACCTTATCAAACACAGATCCCGTCATCTTCCTGTGCTCGCAGTCTGTGTTTCCCTCTGCTCAATTCCAAGGGGAGGGGAGATAGCAGAATCCATTTATGGTAGAGGCCTTTGCCAAGGATTCTCTCCTCATCTGGGACCCCTGCTCAGATCTGCAGAGGGGTTCATCGTGTCGTCTTCTCTAGCAGCTCCTGATGAGAGGGTCTGATTAGCTAGAATGATTTATTGAAAATATAACTCATCCCTAATGGCAGCCTTTAAAACCCGGGAGCTCAAGATTAGTAAGGACATTACATAGCTTCAGCCTCCAGAGATAAATTACTCCTTGGAATGTACCCTCTCACAGTCCCTATATCTGATTTCTCATCAGTGTGGATGGGCTCTGACTTGACATTTCCGCAAAGGGGTGGACAGCAGGCAGGCCGACTGTCTTTCACAGTTAGCTCCAGGCTATGTCTTTGTCCTCCTCCCTTTCTCTTTCATTATCTCCTGGCTTCTCTGTCCCTGCCTCCCCAGAGGCTGAGATGTTATCTGTGAGTTTTTTGAAGGAGAAAGTCCTCTTTCTCTGAGTGTGCTTAGAAGCAGGGCTCTATTGTACCCATAACAGCACAAATATCCCCAATTGCTGGGAGGTCTTTTCTTCAATGATCTTCTCCATGGTTACTGGGAGATAAAATGGAAAAAAACCTTATCTACATTTTATGGATTGGAAAGTGGAGGTCTAGATCTAAGACTAAGCTAGCAAAGACAGACTGACAGAAATAGGCAAATGTCTTTGTGAAGCAATTATATTGCTTATGGTTCCTTCACACAGTTATTCCCTACACTTTCTGCCAAACAGAAACAGATACATTTCTGGAACTTTGGTATTGATAAATAAAGTGCATTGAGCATCCACTCTGCAGCAGGCACTGTGTGTGCATTGTCCTTCACAGCAAAGCACAGTATAGCCACCATTATTATTTCCATTCCACAGATGAGAAAACTGATGTGCAAAAAAGTTAGTTACCTAGCCTGAGTAACGCAATGACCACTGTTGTCTGTGGAACATAAGCTTAGAGCCAGAACTGCATTACACGCTTAGATATTTTGTTTCCTCTTATTCTTGCAACAACCCTATGGACCAGGCATCACTGTACTATGCTGACTTTGCAAATGAAGCAAATGAGCTCCAAGTGGTGAAGCTAATGGCAGACATTTTCATGACTAGAGAGTGGTGAAGCCTAGTTTTGTCCCGAAGTCCCATGTGCTCTCTTCTGTGCCTACCTGGTCTTCTTCCAGTGGTCCTACGTCCCAGCTGGTGACACCACCAGCCACTTAGCTGCACAATCCAGAAACCCAGACCCCAGACTGAAAACCCCTGTCACCTGCCACATTGTTTCTATGACCAATTTCTGTACGTTTTATGTGCTTAATCCTTCTCCGGTTTATCCATCCCCCAGCCAGCATGCTGTCCAGGCCACCATTATCTCCTAGTTGGATTCAGCTATTACTGTCCAACTGGGAACCCTGTTTCTACTATCTATTCCCTACGTGTCAACCACAGTGAACTTAAAAACTGCAAATGTGGTCATGTCACTCACTGGCTAAACCCATCCATCAGCTTCCCATCCTTCCAGTAAAGGCCATGATCTTTCTCATGGCCTGCGTCTCTTTTCAGTATGGGATTCTCACCCATCCCATATCTCGAGCCCACATCCATGCCTCCTTGCTCCAGCCATGTGGCCTTCTTTCATCTGTTTTCACATGGTCTCTCTCAAAACAGAGGCTTTTCCCATGTGACTCCCTCTGCATAGAATGCTCTTCACTTCGCCCCACCTGCCTCTACCTGGCTAACTATTCCTTACTTTGAATCTCAACTCAAAAGTGACCTCTTTATGGAGGCCTTCCCCGACCCTTCTGAATAGATCAGAACCTCATATCATCACAGAGAGTAGTCATTTGCTGTTTTTATATACTCATGTGACTCTTTCATTCAGACCTGGCTCCGTACTAGGCTCTGAGATGCAGGAGGGCAAGGACGGTGTCCGTCTCATTTACCAGGACATCCCTGGCCCCCAGGATGGCAGCCTGAACCTAGAAGGTCTCAATAAATATTCACTGGCATGATGAGTTAATCCACTCCAGTCGGCCTGGAATCCATTCTTTCATTTATTTCTCTTTGGTGTCTTCTGCATTCCACAAGCTCTTTCCCACATCCCACAACTGAGTCTTTTCTTTCACAAATGTTTTCTTGGCACTGTAGTTTTGGGCTCTTGCTTTTATGAGCCCTTACCAGAATTTTTCTTTCTTTCCAGAATAGTCTTTCTAGTTTCTCTTCTTCACTCTGCCCACGTAACACCTTATATCCACTACACACAGGCTAAGCTCCCCTGATACCACTTTTACAAATAGTATGTAAGGCCATGCTGGGGATACAATATCTGTAGCACAGATTCAACATACACCTCCTGGAGGGGGACATGTTCAGTGCTATAAGAGGGTATCACAGAAAAGAAGGCAAAAGCTTGGAATGGAAATAAATAATTGCTCAGAAGAAGAAGCTAGAGTGAAGAAAAGTATTGGAAAATTAGATATAATAGGGACTTCTAAAACTCAGTGTCATGGGGCCTTGTGGAACATCACTGGGAGTTTACCAGCCCAAAGCGTTATTCCTTTAACACTATGCTGGGCACAGGACTAAATACTGGGGCCAGAGAAAAACAGGAGACAGTTTCTGACTTCAAGCAGTTCTCAGTTCACACCTTTCAGGTGGTGTGTGTGTGTGTGTGTGTGTGTGTGTGTGTGTAAGGGAGCAGGAGACTGGTAACTACAACATGGTAATTATCATTCATCCATTCATTCAGCAAACATTCACGGACAACCTATTATGTCCAGGAGACTGTTGTAAGCACTGAGACATAAATGTAAGCAAAGAAACTAACCCCCTTGCTCTCTAAGAGCTTACATGCTCAGGAGGGAGTTGGGGTAACAGGGACAGGCTCAAGAACAAACATAAGTAAAATCTACGGAATGTTGGAAAGTGCTAACTGTCATGAAGAATCAGGAAACTTGGGTGGGGTAGGGGGATGGAGTGTGTACTTGTATGTGAATTAAGGTGGTCTAGATAGGTCTAAAAGACTACTGCATGTGGACTCCAGACCACTGTGTCTTTCTTATCAGGCCTTCTTCTCAGTTGTATTATCTTTAATCCTTGAAACAACTCTAAAAGTTAAATATTATTACCTCCACCTTATGGAGAAGAATTAGAACCTCAAAAAAGGCTACTTACCTTTCCTAAGCTCATATACCTTCCAAATGGTAGGACAAATGCTCAAGACTAGGCTCAACTGCTGCCCAAGCTCAGCACTAGCCTGTTTTGCTGTGCTGCTGTTATATTAGTGAAAGCATGCTCCAAGGCATATGGAATAGGGAAGAGTTAACCCTAATTATTGCATTGGAGAATGTTTCTCAGAGGAACTAATATATGAGTCTAGCTGTGATAAATCCATAGATGGATGTTTCCAGCACAACTGATCACCCTGGATGCCAGAAACGGCTCTAGCCTCACCCTGGGCAAGGCACTTCCCACAGGCAGTGATGACCTAGACATTCACATCTGTGCAAAGGATATTCATGGGCACTAATTGAGCATTAGTGTGCCAGGTGCTAGGGTGTAAACATGAACAGGGCAGGGCCACTGAGCTAAGGTGAAAACTCCTCTTTTAATAAAAGAATGTTGTCATCATATAGAAGTAGTGTGAAGTTGAGAGTGGCCTTTAACCCTCTTCCCCTTAAATCTATCTCCCATGAAGAGTACTGTCCCATAAATCCATGCTACTTGGGATGCTGTCCTTTGGGTTCAAAGGTTGCTACTATCAAAGCTTTTAGTTTTGGTAAGGCATTCTGCTATCTGGACAAATGCCATTCTGTAAGGGTGCCGAGAACACACGGCTTGTCACGAGAGGCTTGACCAGCTGCAGCAGGTCTGGACGAGTCGCCTTAGAAATCATGAAGGAGAGAGTACATAAGAAGTGTTCATGTGTGGTGGGGAGCACTCAGAGGCATGAGTGCACATATGGAAGAAGAATACTCACACCTCAACACCTTGGTATTCTAGGGACAATACATGGCTTTGGAGTCAGACATGCTTGCTTCCTAATTCCATCTCTAGAGTTTATCAGCTGTGTGACCTTGGACAACTTAAAGATACTGTCGAGTTTGCTATCCAAAGTGAGATGATGAGACTTCCCACTGAGGATTGTTAGCCAGAGGATTAAATCTGAAGTTGAAACTAGTTGAACATGTTCAGGCATCTGATCCCAAGTTTTGCCTAGGTCTAGTCTGATTCAATAATGTCTTTTTGCTATACTTTAATGATTGATTTTGGGGCGGAATATCTCAAAGCCCTACGAACCTAACTTAGTCATTCACCGACTGTAAAAACGGTGAACTTAGGGCAAGTTACCAAGCCTCTCTGAGCCTCAGTTTTGTATCTGTCAAGGGAGGGCAATGAAGCCTCCCCTGTACCATGTTTTAGGATTACAGGAGATGACGCATGCATGGCTCTGAGTTTAGTGCCCAGCACATGGTGAGTTCTGAATAGACTAGACATAGCCATTATCATTATTATTGACTATAACAACTACATCAAGAGAGCCAGCTCCCCTTCATTCCTTTTGTGTCAGAAATTTGCTTTTTCTCTTTTTCTCCTGGAATATATATATATCTCTTTATATATAATTTCATATATATATATTTATATTTATATACAATTTCTTCCTCTTTCCTACCAGCTGAGAAGTGAGAAAGAGTTAACTGCAGTCATAAAGCACAGAGGCTGTTCATTAGAGCCTGACTTATAAATGTTTTACACTGCCATCCAGACATGTTGGTACTACACGACTACAAATTATGCTTTGGTGCCTTGTCCCGCAGCAGGGGCTGCTGTTCAACAATCAAGCCCAAGGAGCTTATTTTTGGTAGTTCCTGCCATCAGTGATCCTTCCTTTCCTCTGTGAGTAAGTGTGTGTGTGTGTGTGTGTGTGTGTGCCTATGAAGATACACATGTGTCTGGATGAGCACATGTTTCTATGTTTCTGAAAATGTTAACAGAGCCACCACCTACCACAGGGAAATCTATATTCTGCTTGCACCTATCATGGGCAGAAAGCAATAAGGAGGTGAAAGAAGTTGAGGGAGAGGCTTTTTGTTTACCTACCCCTTGGCTTCTGGCTGCTCTTGTGCCTCCCCAGCCCAGGCAGGGGGCAGCAGGGATGTGGGAAGCTGTGTCAGTCTTGCACCTGCCCTAGATCAATGCAGTTCCAAGTGATGGGCCTTCTTAAGGAGGTCGCAGGGGTCTGTTGATTTCATTGGGTGGATGGAAGGGCACTAATGAAGTTATTTCACCTTTTTCCAAGCTCCCAGGCACTCCTGAAGGTCACTGCTCCCAAATTTTTTCTAGGGAATTCTGATCCCCATTGAAGGTATCTATTTTCTCTTCAGTTTCATTCAAAGGTGTCTATGATGCACCAACCATAGGCAATAACATACTGTCTGGGTGCTGTGGGGAAAGCAAAAGTGAACTAGATATGATACCTGCCCTCAGAGAGCTTGAAATCCAGCAGCTACAAATGATGATGTTAACCTGTATTGAGCTCATTCTTCAATGTGCTATGTTCTAAGGACTGTCTCAAGAACAGTTTCTCATTTAATTCTCAAAATCTTTTGAGTTAGGTTATGTTATTATCCCTATTCTATTAATATGTTCAATGAAGTTCAAAAAGGTTTAGTAACTATTCCGACTACAGGGAGCTAGAATATCAACATTCAGAGCCTGGTTTTAAACATTATTATGAGTGTGACCTTGGTAACTTAAAGTTCTCTGTTACTCAGTTTTCCCGTTTTTACAATTGCATAATGATGTTATCTACTTCACAGAGCTGTTGTAAGGATAAAACAATATATTAGGTATTTAATATGTGCTGGCATATAGTGAGGACACCAAAAATGTTAGCTGTTTTTTAAAACATTGCCTCATCAATGTCCTCAGTATGCCACCCATACTCCTGAGAAGAGACTGATGTGTTTGAAATGTCCAACCCTAAAGTATTTATTTGTATTCATGGGTTAATTGTCAGGTTTATCCACAAAGTCAAACCAACTATATGTCATCAGCTATCACAAAAAATAAACGCAATTCTGAAGATAGCAATAGCTCATAGACATCAGGTCAAATCTGCAAAGATGAGCATTGTCCTAGGTGCTAAGGATACTGCAATTAAGAGTCTACATGGAACTTCAGATTTAGAAAAACTAGGGTTGGAATCTTGCTCCCTGTTCCTTCTGCTTGTGTACTCTTGTCCAAGCTACCAACCTCTATAGCATTGCTTTCTCATTTTATGAAATTGGAATAACAACAGTACCTACTTCTTAGAATCATTTGGGGTTAAGTGACATGAAAAACACAAACCATAGTCTCTACGCAGAGTAACTGCTTGAGGAATGTTACTTATAGGTCATTGGGAAAGTGTATTGCACAGAGAACCAGCATTTATAGGCAGAACACATAAATTATAACTTACTTAAAAATCTACAACACAACAAAACTACAAGATTAGTATTACTGATAAGTCCTACAGATAAGGCTGCTCAAATTGTTTATGATATTAGCCCAAGGGTGCACACCTATAAGATTGGATATTTAATCTGAATTTGTATATCCTTAATTCAAAGTTAATGTTCTTTTCAGCCAGGCATGGTGGCTCATGCCTGTAATCCCAGCACTTTGGGAGGCCGAGGCGGGCGGATCGCCTGAGGTCAGGAGTTCGAGACCAGCCTGGCCAACATGGTGGAAACCCACCTCTACTAATAATACAAAAAATTAGCCGGGCGTGATGACATATGCCTGTAGTCCCAGCTACTCGGAGGGCTGACGCAGGAGACTCACTTGACCTGGGAGGCAAAGGTCACAGTGAGCTGAGATCGCGCCATTGCACTCCAGCCTGGTTGACAGAACGAGACTCCATCTCCAAACAAAAACAAAAACAAATACGAATACAAAAACAAAGTTCTTTTTACCATTTTGGCCACAAGCATTTACGTAACAGCTATTGGTTGTGCTGAGGATATACATACACGAGGACATCTATGAAATTATCAGAAGAGGAAAGCAAGAAGGTGGATGTGGAAAATGCACTATGTAAGGAAAAGAGTCCTACATTAATTGGACCAAACATGGTAGCTAGAAACACAGGTACTTGCTGATGAATATGGGCAAAAACTGTGAGAGGATGGACAAATGATTTGCCAATAGGCTTGCTGAGGGTAGAATTAGCAGTCCAGGGAAGCACGTGCTACCATGCTGCAGGAGGTAAATTACTCTACTCACTAGTTAGAGGTTCGAAAACAATTAGAGAGATAGATTCCATGCGTATAAATAGAAAGAGCATGTGGATATATGGGTGCTGCATGGTGATAGATAATGCCATAGATAAATACTGGAGCTGGAAAGGCATATAGAGACTCCGGATAAATGATTCCTATAAATAAGAATTGCTCATAGATATTTCAGATGCTTCTCTATTTATGAACATTTGACATTCACCCCTAAGGAACTGCATATTTCCTCATCAAAGAGAAAGGCAACCGTGAAGCCAATGACTGGATGTCTGATTAGAGCTTTCAGCATTCACACCGTGTGAGCAGCTGCAACTGTGACTCAGGCTCTAGATTCAAGCCCTTGAGGCCTAATGGATGTCTCATCCACAGCATGGCCAGGAAGCCACAGTAATCGCTGCCTGAGAAAGCTCACCACCAGTGCCTGTTACTGGGCTCAGTTTTCTTTGGAAAAAAAAAAAAAAGCCCTCATTTTCCCTTGCTGTGATAAGTAAGAGAAGTCACCATCTCTTGCTTGAGGCAAAGGATTTGGTCTGGGTAGGTATTGGGAAGTGTTCCTATTGTTTATTAGATGGGACTTTCCCTGTGAGTAGCAAGCATTTCATATTGTAAATGTTGGAACATTCTGTATGGATCATGGGCATAACAAAGTAATAATAGCAGAAATGTGATCATATCTGTGCAACAGCTTCTAAAGGAAAACACATGGGTTCTGAAGTCAGATGGACCAGAAACTGTGTGATACTAAAGAAGTTACATAATTAATTGTCCTTAGTCTTAAAATGGGGATTATAAGAACCATTTCATAGGTTTGTTACGTGAAGTAGATGTTATAGTCTACACAAACTACTTAGCCTAGCACCTGGGGGATGGTAGGGTTTCAACAAAAGGTAATTGATACAATTATTAACAATGACCAGAACAGCAAAGTCCCACCTGCTTGTCCCCAGTGAAGGCATACTTGTGTGCACAGCACTTTTTACTACTTAGGTAGCACAGCTTTGCATAAAAACAGAAGCCAAAACACCTCTGAAATAGCTGCCAGAGGCTCTTTCTCTTGAGTTGAATGTAAGAAAGAAGGCATACTTGCTCCCTAGGTCAGCCTGACCTGCTTGAAAACATAATCCAAGCCCAGAGGGACACCAGAGCCTATGGCTGTGAGTTGTAGAAATAAATATTAAACAGCACTCTGATTTCTAGTTATTTTTCCACTAACTTGCATTGACTCATAGGAAAATACCTTGAAGCCTTGAGTTTTCCCATCTACCAAAAAATGTATTGAAAGTTCGCTTTACTCAGGCACGATTGTAAGTACTTTTTGCATTAGTTCATATCACACTATTAGTAATCTTATGAGTTAAGAGAATTTTAATACCTTCATGTCATAGATAAGAAAATGGATATGCAGAGTTGAAGCAACTTGGCTATGGTAATTGGTATTAGAGCTGAGAGTAAATCCTGGGTCATCTTACTCCAGAGCTTGCCTTCATACTACTCTACTAAGCTACCTCCACCAAAATCAAGATGTTGATCTCACTGAAGCTTTAAGCTCCATCTTAACTACAAATGTCATGACTCTTTCATGAATGTTTTATAGCAGGAAGGCATCAGGAAATTAAGTCACTGGCATAGACTTAGTGGAGCATTCAACAAACACGTGTTCAAAGAGCCTACCAGGAGCTAGGCGTCAGGAGTTACGATGCACAATCAACGGTGCAGCAAGTCGCCCTGGATTTCATACCACTGTGCTATGGATGTCTATGAAAGCATTCTGCAATCAGTCTTATTGGTTGGAATATGATGTAGCAAAAACAACCCTAAACTCTCTCCATATTTTGATTTTTCAGAGCACTTATCACAATAAAAAATCATTACGTTTGTTTTCTTGCTTATTGCCTTCTTTCCCTTTACCATCCTGATGGGAATATTTGTTCTCCCTGGAGCAGGGGTCTTGTTGACTTGTTCGCTGTAGAATCCCTGGTACCCCTAAGAGTGCTGATCCATCGTGGGAGTTACATAAATAGCTGTTGGGTGAACGGTGAATGAACACAACAACAATAAACCCTAGTATAACACTTTACATCATTTCACTGAAGTTTAGGAAATGCTTGCAGATACAATATTCAATTTGATATTCATCGACAGCCCTGTGGGAGAGCTAACTTGCATTCCTCATTTTATAGAAGAGGAATCAGAAAAATCAAAGAGGTTATTTGAATTATCCAAAGTCACAAGTGTGAAAACTGCAACCATTTTGACTCAAAGCCCCACGTTTTGTATTCTGCAAGTTTGCAAATGAAACTGTGACAACATTTTGGAGGTACCCTTTGTTGAAACTGAGCACTTCAGAAACACAGGCCCTTGGCATAATTGGACCGGAGGAGTGAATATAGGCAGAAAGAATCAACTTCTGCCTTCTCAGTTGTATGATAGTCCTAAAGAAAATGGACAGTATAAATAGTTTAAGCGGATGACAAGTTTAGATAAACCATGTTTCATTTTCTTAACTCAGTATAACTGAGAGAAAAATCCCATGTCTGCAGAGCTAATCGTTCCATTTTCTTCCCAAAGCACAACCTTAGCTTCATCCACTAACACCTGATGTCACAGCATGTTATAACTCAGCAGAGTGCTATACACTGTGTCAACCTGCGCCTTCATTTTTTCCCAGTCCCTCATCTGAAGTAAATGGAGTCTATGTTTAGCCTATCTGTGTTCAGATCCTAGCTCTCCCTCTTCCTTTCTCTGCAGCTTTGGGATGAGTAGCTTTAACTCCCTGTGCTTCAATCCTTCACAGGTTTATGAGAAGATTAAATGAGTTAATGCATATGAAGTGTTTAGTTCTAGGTCTGGCATATAACCAAGTGCTTGGTATCTTTTAGCTGTTATCATTATCATTTTCATTATCATTCTAACATCCAGATGACCTTGCCTCAGCCATCTTTCCCTTCCCCCCAAGTTGCACTGTAAGAAACATCTTTGTCATCTACTCTGCCATTCTTTTTGGCTCCCTTCTAAATTCTCAAACCACAATTTCCTTTCATCATAACTCTGAATATAAAAATAAGATCATTTTTCTTCTCATAACTGGATTATGACTCAAAATAAACATTCCATTGAAGGAATTAGAAAAGTCATCTTGACAAATGAAGGACAATGGGTATTTTAATAGTGACCATTATCATTGCCTATATACCATTTCCTCAGGTACTATTCTTGAATTGTTGGTTGGACTTCAGTTCCATTGATGGCCTGAGCCATATTTACTTCATGTCGCTATGGCATTGATCACACCCTCAAAGGAGGTATGCAAACTGTGATCTTGTTTCTGTGACAAAACCAGGTTGGGGGAATGATGGTTAATACAACAGTCATCTACTTCTTGCATAAGTCTTTCAGAAAACAATTATTGAGCACCTACTCTTTCCCAAAGGAGGCATTTTTCTAGATGCTGGCAAATCAACAATAAATAGAATACTACCTCTGGCCGGGTGTGGTGGCTCAAGCCTGTAATCCCAGCATTTTGGAGGGCTGAGGAAGGCAGATCACTTGAGGTCAGAAGTTCAAGACCAGCCTGGCCAACATGGTAAAACCCCGTCTCTACTAAAAACACAAAAATTAGCTAGGCATGGTGGTACATGCCTGTAGTCCCAGCTACTCAGGGCTGAGGCAGGAGAATTGCTTGAACCTGGGAGGCAGAGGTTGCAGTGAGCTGAGGACAGAGCAAGACTCCATCTCAAGCATTTGTTAAATAGAACTATGCTTAGTCCACTATTTGCCCATCTGACAGAGACTGTAGAAGTCAGAAAAGCTTCCCAGAGAAGAGAGTATCAGTAGAGCATTTGCAAGAATGGATTGAAGTTAGGCAAGATGCAGAACAGAGGTCCCATTTGATTAACTAATGTCTGCAAGGGCATGAGTTGAGATGGTGAGACACTCCTAGGAGACATCTATCATATCAGTGTGGCTGTGGCATGGAGTTTGGGAGTGGAGTGAGTAATGAGGAAGAAGAGGGGTCATGTCATAAACACACTTGCATCTCATGCTGTCAGGACTTAAGCTTTATCCTTTTCTTGGGGGTGGGGGAATTGTATTTCACAATCATAAATGGTAGGTACAATTATAGAACTCATTGAAGGTTTACTCAGCCCTCATTTTTTTTCTTTACCCACGTTGGTCACAGCATAACACTTCCCTCAAAACCACACTTGATGTGCTGGTACTTCAATTTTCCTTTTGCCAAGAGTTGACATTATGCTAACTTTACATTTTACAAATCAACTCACCTACTAGGTAGGAGAGAATAACTTTCTGCGTTTTGTGGTACATGTTTCCACTTACTGCTTGCCCCGAGGATGAGGGATTCTGTATGTGGCAGGAGTGAAAACAACAGTTTTTTTAAAAAATTAAGCATTAAATTACACTGGACGTGTTTAATTTTGTTTTCAGTAATGGGCTTTGATGCTTTGGTGAAGACTCATTGTGTTATACTTGAAATAGAAACATGTCATGTGAGTGAACCTGTGAGGCGGGGAGAACAATAAAATGGCAAAATGCACCCGGACTAGGTGGGGCTTATAGTGCTAGATATTTTAGGCTCAATTTTATTGTTCATGGCACTGTGCAAAAATAAATAGACATTTAAAAGAAGTAGGATATATGTTGGTATGAAAGCAGAGGGAAATCAATTAGCAGCTGTAACTTAAAGCTGAGGAAATGGATAGGATTGACTTTAAAGATCTGAGGTACTAATTTGTCTCCTTAAATGCAAATTTCTAAGTTTATCCATGGCCGTCCAATATACAGATATCCCAATGAACCCAGATTATTTTATAATAGGGAATAAAGGAAATAGCAATCGTTACAGAGAGGTGAGCCCTTATTTTGGTGTTTCATAAATGCCTGAATCCAGATCATATATTGGGGCCATGATCCAAGAGATGTCAGATTGTGTATATTTTACAGTTTTTCAAAATAAGGAATTATCAATGTGGCTAATCCGGTCTGTGAGAGGTCAGGATGTAACATCAGATGAAGTTGAACATCGGTCATCAGGTAGAGTTGAAGACACATGAAACGTACATGAAAAAAAACATGAAAAAATAGGCAAGAAGCAAAGGAACAGCCATGGACGTAGAGTGAAGATGATTTGGTTTAATGGGTCACAAGAAAAGCTTCAAACCCTGTGAGGTCGCCAGAGGACTATTCATATGTGGCACTAACTGTATAGCACAAAGCTTGCATATAGCTAACCAAGCCACACAAGACTGTAACCTCTTGGGTCTTTCTAGATGAGAAGTCTTGTTTATATAGCAATTAGAAAATCCTTTATGACTTTTAGCACCAAGCTAAGGGAATTCTTTCAGGTTTAGTGACTAGAAATCATGGAAGAAATGTCCACTTCCCCACAAGGGTGTTGCACAAGGGACACATTCAACTATCACATAATTCTAAGTACTTTCGAATCTAGTGGTTTAAAACTAGAAATTAATGCTTTAAAAACATAGGCGTGTAAAGCATTCGTGAAGAGGATGTTGTAACGAAATATGACTATCTAGAACGACATTAAACTGATTTCCACTCACCCTGGGAATTCATTAAAGAGAAAATCTTCATTCTGTGACTTCGCACTGTCTGGTTTATATCTGGGCTTATGTCCAACAAAACTACTAAAAAGTAAGGCCTGTGAACCACTAGTAGATATTGGTGGGGTGACAGAAATTAATGGAATTGTGACATGCAACATGTTGAAAAAATAAAAAGCAATCTCAAAATTGGAAAAAAATAGAATAGAAACAACGGGTATGAATTAAACTGCCTGTGCTTTTAGTAGAAGATAATGAAAGAAAGTGGCACGTCCACCTTGGCTTACAGCTAGGACATTCCCAATTCAAGGCCTTTAAATCAACAGCTTCAAGGACCAAGCAAAGGCATCATTTTGAAAGAATTTTTAGGGCATTTATATACTAGCTGTCAACTGCCTTGGTGGCAGGGTGATAAATGCTTCTGAATTTGAGTTAAGCAGACTAAACTCTATGAAACTGTGCTTGCACAACTGATAAACTGTCTAATGGTCAATTCTCCAAAATTCCCACTGGGTAAGACAGAGAGGTGTGTCAGGGGAAAAGCTAGCATGGAGGTGGGAGATAGAGACACAAGTATGCAAAAGCCACCCCCCACCGTGTCTTCCCAGTGGTCCACGTGATGCCCACCCCTGAATGCACAATGGCACAGCTGCTCCCACCCACCACAGAGAATCCAGCTGCAGGTCTCTCCTCCTCTCTGCCTCAGAGCCGCTCAACATCCTTGGATTAATAATCATGGTCATTTTCAGGGCTTTGGTTTCCTTCCTTAGCAATAAACATGTAGATGTTTTAATCTAAGATATGGTAAAGCTAAATGACACACTAGTGTTCAACTTCCTTAGAGAAGAACTTGGGGCACAGTCTAGAAGTCATGAGGGGCATATTTCATAGGATGTCTATTTAGACCCTGTAGATCCGATATGTGGATAAAGCCTAGAGACAGAGAAGAAAGTGTTACCAAACTTTGCTTGACTTGATTCTAGACAAATGCTTCCTAATAATAGTAATGATAAAATAACAATAATAATTATTATAACCATCCCTACTACCCCAACTATTACACATGCTGACAAGGAGGGCCATGTACCAAGCCCTTGGCTAAGTACTTCACATACCTTATCCCAAGTGGCCCAAGTCTAAGCTTGATCATCTCTTGAGATCCTTTCTACCTTAAGTCATTAAATTGAATTCTCATTTTCCTAGGAAGCTTATGAGGAGACAAGCATCATTTTGTTACTTGACAGTACCTGGTTGCTTACCTGGACTTATGTCCAGCAGAGCTGCAAAATAGGCTAATCCATTGCCCGCAAGTTTCCATTTTGAAACCATTGCATCAAAGTCATATCTCCCTCCTTCCTTCGACTGCATCACCCCACTTCTATTTAGACTGCAGGGCCTTTCAGACCCCCTATTCTAACACACAGATAACCTTGATTAGAAGAGATTCATGTTTATAATTGAACAACATGAACTTTCTAGTTAAATTGTCTTAAGATCATCTAATTGGAAAAGGAAAGAAAAGGGAACTAATTTATAGCCACTAATACTTAATGCTTTATATAGACTAAGAGAAATACTTTATCTCTATTTTTCATCCTCAGTTTACAAGGGAGAAATCTGAGGCTTTGAGAATTTAAGTCACATCTTGAAGGTCAAATAATGAGTAAGTGGCAAAGTCAGGATTTAAGCTTTTCCATTTCCTCTTTCTGCCTCAGAAATAACATTTAAAAGAGAATCCATAGCCTGCATCCAACTGTGGCAAGAAAAAAGTAAAGCATACTGCAAAAAAAAAAAAAAAAAAAAAAAAAAAAAAAAAAAAAAAAAAGAAGAAACAAACACAGCAAAAGCCCTTTCCCTTTGGCATTTAAACATTGCTTGTGTGAAAACATGAGGATGAAAATTGTACACATGCTTACATGAGCAGAAATATTCCTGGGAGCCTTGAGATTTATTTCAGACATATTTCAAATAGATATATGGAAAGCAAGAAAGGAGCAGAGAAAAAAAAGGCATCTGATGAATAAATGAGTGGGAGAAATCATGAGGAAAAGAGATGCAGTGTAATCATGGCCCTGATTTCTTTCAGGATAAACGGGCTTGCTGGTGCTGTCTATACTATAGGGGATACATCATATGTACTGAGATTACTATTTCATCAAAGATGATATTGGATCTGATCTTTCAGTTTGGCCAGTTGGCTACAGAAACAACATTGGAATTTTCCAAACAAAATTTTAGCTCAAGGGAATATCTAAAGTACAGATTCCTTAGTCGACTTGACAGAGAGATTGGGCTAGCTTGCCTTTGGTGCCCAGCAACTAACTGCTTAGGGATAGTAACTCTTATCTGTCGCTCACTATCTCCCTCAACCCACATGATGCCTTCCTGTTGGAAACATTCCATGAAATTAGACAAACTTATCTGAGTGACTTAGCCAGGAAGCCAGCTTAAGAAACCAAATCAGAAAAGCCGTTGTCATTTTGCTTCCTTTCTTCCTCATGATTTGTGGGTAGGAGATGGGAACAGAAAGGAAATTGTCTCCAGTATCCATGATCCCTAGAGACATCCATCTGTCAGATATGGGGCTTGCTATTTCAAAGGGAGTATCTATCTGCAGAGACCCTCAAAAGGATCAAGCTTGACCTCAACCTGTCAACCTGACAACTGTTTCAATAGGAAGCCCAGATACCTTCACAAAACAAGCCTAAATGAACTCCTTGACCTGCCATGAGTCATAGTTTTATTAGATCTCTGTAGTATCATTAGATCTCTATAGACTAAACACACAGAATCCCCTTCCCTCATTCTCCCTTCCCACATGCTCTTTGGCAAAAGGCTGCCACTCCTGTGGTCTGGATCCTCAGGCTCTCTCCTCCTTCTACCGACTTTTCTCCTTCCTCACTCTGTTCACTAAGCCTTAAGATGGTTAACTGCCTCATTGCCTCAGACTTGGGGTCCCCTGGCCTCTTCCAATGGTTGGATGCTTTGGTTCATCTTCAGGTTTTTATTCTGGTATTGCATACACCGGGACTGTTGGGTCACCTCTACCTTCACGCTCTTCAAAATAACACAGCTCTGACTTCCTTCCACACCTACCATCTTGGCTCCAAGAACTCCGGAGACCTACTTGTGCCAAAAGAGTTTTTGGGACAACACTACTTTGTCTTTCTACATCATCCCTCAAATGAAAATAAAATGATTGGTTGAATTATTTATTTGAATGATTGTCACTTGACACATTTAGCTTTAAAATACAGTTACATTTAGAAAATACTTTGGTACATATGTTCACATCTGATACTACAAAAACCCTGTGGTATTCATATCTCCATTTTCTCATTCAGATGAGAAAATGCTTTAAGTGATGCTGAAATGAATTTCACAAATTCCTATCGATCAACAGAAGCATATCTAGAACTCAAACACAGAGCAGATTCCAATGCAGTTGTGCAGCCCCACGCACACGTGGGAGCTCTGTCAGGACAGCTGTAGTAGTCAGATGGCTGGGACAGAAGAGCTTGTCGCATAAATCACAAGCAGTGCCTGTGAATTCTCATCAGGTCCCCTTGCATTTTCCTCCTTAATAGATTTTATGAAGTCAAATAGGCAACATTTCATTGTTTCAGGTGGAGAAAATTGAGACACAAGCTGATGAAACAATTTGAAAATAGAAGCCCTGAGTCCTGAATCTTAGACCAAGTTTTCCTCCTTCATAAATTAATGTATTGAATTCTGCCGCTAATGGTATTGCAAACCCGCTTACTATTATTGCAGAGAAAAATCTAAAAATATAGACAAGAGGCCGTGGGTGCAGTGGCCCACACCTGTAATCCCAGCACTTTGGGAGGCTGAGGTAGGCAGAACACAAGGTCAGGAGTTCGAGACCAGCCTGGCCAATGTGGTGAAACCCTGTCTCTACTAAAAATAGAAAAAAATTAGCTGGGTATGGTAGTGTGCACCTGTAGTCCCAGCTACTCAGGAGGCTGAGGCAGGAGAATCGCTTGAACCTGGGAGGCAGAGGTTACAGTGAGCTGAGATAGAGCCACTGCACTCCAGCCTGGGCGACAGAGTGAGACTCCGTCTATAAATAAATAAATAAAAAGAAAGTACTTTCTATGCCAGTTACAAATCCATAATGATATGTTTAGCAATCCTGTTTTTTATTTATCCTTTCCTTCTCAGAAATTCAATAGCAGACTTAGTTATATATACACAGCCAATGTGAAGACACTTATTCTCAAACATGCAAATGTTATACACGTCATCTTGCTTCCCTCTACCTATTGTCAGCCTTCAGTCACAGTGTCTACCAGACAAGTCATTTCTAATTAGAGAGGAATCTGGCATCTGTCTTTGTGATTATACTCTTTCAGCTCCAATTTGCTGCCAAACCCCAGGTCTCCACAGGTGGGAACTGAAGAAAAAAAGCATTTTTCACTGGTGGTTTCTTTTCAAAGGTAAAGTTTTCATCTCTGCAGGAGCAATTAATTTTTCCTGTTTAAAATGACAGACAAAAGTCTTATCTTTTGCTTTTCACTTGAAGAGCTTGGGGAAGGCAGTGTGGGAGCAAAGGCATGTTGGTTTTTCCTATTTCCCTGCTGAGCCAGATGAGTTGATTTCTGAGCAAATTCTCGGTATTATATAAAGGGGTTAGTAATCTGGTTAGATACCATTGAATGCCATAAGATATTAATAATGAGAATAAAAATTTTAAGAATCGACTTTTGTTCAGCGCTTTCAAAGATGTTTGAAAAATCTCCACTCCACAATGATAATGTCCAGTTTTCTTCCCTGATACAATCTGAAAGTTTTTGTCCCCATGAAAGACTTACATATTGAAATTCCAGGCCCCAAGTTGATGGTATGGAGAGGTAGAACCTTTGGGGAGTGGGGCCTTCATGAATGAGATTAGTGCCCGTATAACAGAGGCCCTAGAGCAATCCTTTGCCCATTCCACCATGTTAGGACACAGCTAGATGGTGCCATTTATGAATCAGGATATGAGCCCTCACCAAACACCACATCTTATCTTGGACTTTTCAGCCTCCAGAATTGTGAGAAGTAAATCTCTGTTGTTTAATAAGCACCCCAATTTATGGTATTTTGCTATTGCTATCTGAACAGACTAAGAAACTAAATATTACTACCTCTTTTGGTGGTAGTAATATTTTTTGCCTTCAGCATAATAGAAACTATAGAATGGAACTCAAGATACAATAGTCTTTATGATCTTAACAGTAGTAGTTATAATAGAAAGAACAGTGGACTTGGAGGCAAGACCTAGGTTCAAAACTTGGCTCTATTACCTATTAAGCCTGTGAGTCATTTACTATATCTTTTCTCAGTTTTTAAATCTCTGTAATGGGGACAATACTTCCCATAACCACCTGACACATATGAGGTGAGGGTCAAGTCTGATTCAGCTATGGAAGTGCTTTGTTAATCATAAAACCTAATATAACTGCCTGCATTATTTCCTATAATATCATGAAAAAGGCTTCTATGGAGAGCCAAAATTATGTCAATATTTTCCAATCCATTCCACAGGGCATGGTAACTGTCCCAAGAGTTGCTTAAATAAAAGAAAAAAATAAAAACTATCTAGACAGTCAGATTTTTAAGAAAAATTATGGTGCTATGCTTCTCAACTTCAATTACTTTATGTGCAAAATGTAGTAAAAGGACCTGCCCCAAGATTGTTGTGGGTGGGACACACACACACACACACACACACACACCCTGGGGCCAGTAACCTATGCATAATAAATACTAAATTATGTTCGTTTCTCCCCATTACACTGTTGAGAGCCTCACCCACTCTGGCTCCCTTCTAGTTTGAGCAAAGGCCCTGGTTCTTATTGAAGGAGTACCAGAGTGGGTACCTGAGCCCCTGCCACAGCACCTGGGAAATAACAGCTGCTAGTTGAGCACCAGATGATCCAGAGTTAGGAAAATCCCTCTATGTGGAGTAAGGCACAGGAGGAAGAAGAAATGGGGACATTCTTTGTTCCCCTCACTGACCTGGGATTAACCTTTAGAACAGAATTTCTCAAATACTTTTAAATGTAACCCCATATTATGAGTACTTTTTATGCAGTGGCCCAGTATATATAAAGAGCACAACACATATGAACCAGACATATGCTACTTTCTATTCCTTTAATCCTATTACTTTTAAAAATAGGATTTTAGGACACACTAATTGGTAGCAGTCCAACAGTTCAAAAATGCCACTGTAGAAGGTCTCCCGGCATGACCTCCAACCTCATAACTTTTCTGGGCACTCCCTAAGGTGTGCCCTTAGGGACCTGACAAGTGACAAACTGACTATTAATTGTTTTGCAGTTCAGAAAACAAAGAGATCATAACCAGGACCATGGGTTTAGAGGAGCTAAAAAATACAGAACAGAAAAAAATATAACTTGTTTTTCTTAGATGCTTTGTTCATGACCCCCAGAGAAAACGTGTCACAATTTCTCTTCCCTGTAAATGCTAAGAATCTTTTAATAACAATAAAAGGGTGAAATCCATCTTAGGCCCCCCACACCCTGCTCAGGGCAGGCACTTCATCATGCTCTGCCACTGTCACCATAAATAAGATCTAGGTCTTACAAATGTGTCTGCTACCTGGGACAAGCCCAGAGCCAGATCACATCTTACTATCCAGAACGTGGTTGACAAATGTACCAGTTTCCCTTAGACACACAGCATATTCCTTGCTGCAGTGTAATTGGATTTTTTTTAAAAAACTTTTTACTAGAAGATTCCATAGAAGAGGAACAGATGAGTGAGCGGTTGGGATCAGCGTTGAGCCTCATAACTTTCTCTTCAGTGTCTGACTTGCATCTGTTCAAGTAGGTCTGTTTTATTAATGCTTACTGGCCTACAGCTATAGCCATAATATTAAAGATACAATGTTAGCACAGCACTGACACATAGATTGTTTTCCATAGGAAAGAAATTAATGTTTGCATAGGATATTGAACCCCTGGCTTTCCTCCAACTTTCTGGCCTCCATGTTCAAAGGCTGGATTAAAGATACAGATTACAAAGGGGCTCCTATTACCATTGAGAATGGGGTAGAGATCAATGAAAGTTAACCATTACGAATGGGGTAGAGATCTGTGAAAATTAACCATTAAGAATGGGATAGAGATCAATGAAAGCTAGACTAGGGGTCTAAGGCTGAGATACCACCTCACCTCAATGTGAGACCAGACTTCCTCTGCATTGATCAATCCTCAAGCATCAGGTAATCCATATGGACTAGCAGGTACTTGGTAAAGAAGGAAACAAAGTGATCCCTTGACTCATAAAACATCCAAACAGCTTTGTCAGGCAGGTGGCAGAATTTCATTTGTCATAAATGCTGGGGTCCTTTTGTCACTAAGAATAAGAGAATGTAGCCACCTCAAGTTTGATCGAGGCCAACATTTATGCTCAAAATATTGTAGGGTGGAACATTTAAATTCAGTTTCTACATAGCTGCCATCCTGTATACCAAGGACTCTGAAACCCCAGCCCAGGAGGCCCTTCTAAGCAGATGAGAACAATGAGAGTCTCAAACACAAGGGAAGGCGGGGGTTGAATGGGAAGGTCACAACCCAGTAACCTGGTCTGTGCTTCGGGGCAGGACTCCAGACAGATGAATAGAGAGGGCCTTAGAAACCAGAGGCCAGGTGGAGGGAAAGCTGCACCGATGGAGGGCATTCAGAATTGGGAGCCAGGGGACTGGAGGTGATACTGCTGCTGACTCCCCGAGATGTTCAGACTAGATGCTGCTGATAAAAGAAAACTGACTCCTCAGGAACTCCCTCTCCTGCGGGAACAAGTTCCTCTTGGGATTGGTTGCCATGAGTTCTGGGTCAGAGGGAGATTAGTCTGTGGCTGACCAGCCTGATTATGGTTTTCTTCTGGAGCTGGGCTTGGCAAAGTTATTCTGCAAAGAGTAGTAAGTATTTTTAGCTTTGTAGGCCATAGGCTCTGTCTTGCTATCATTCAACTCTGCCCTTGTAGCACAAAAGCAGCCACAGACAATACATGAACACTGGGTATGGCTGCATTCCAAAACAAGAAAATATATATTTACAAAAACAGGCAGTGGGCCAGATTTGCCTTGCAGAATGTAGTTGGCTGAGCACGTGTACTTTGGGCTCCCTAAGTCCTGGTTTCCTCATTTCTAAAATGGAATAATGATACCTATCTCTAGGGTTGTTGAAAGGTTTGAATGAATGGATGCATGCTAATCCTGCAGCATTATGCGTGGCACAATAATAAAAATAACAATAGCAATACAATCCGTATTGTCATTATTATTATTTTCCCATTCCTGGTCTAGGAAAAAGCATTCAGAGATCAATTCTGCCCACTCATCTCACTCACTGCACTTAATGAGCTCTCTTCTCAGATCCATATAAGATAGGGTATATGGGTCAATTATCAAATTCCAACCTTTCTCTGTTCAAATGCATAAAAGCCCCATAACCAATCCCTGCCCACTCTTCCTGTGCTCACTGAGATCTTGTCTAGCTCATTCTTCTGCAGGCATCCTGGCTGCCACTCAACAATGGACTTACTAAGAAAACCTGAGTCATAGTACCCCAACCTGGATGGAAAGAGTATGACAGGTGCCCAGCCCTGCCCCATTTTCTAAGTGGATAGCACCAAACTGAAGGGATTGCTAAACAGTGTGTCACTAGTCTTGGCCGGCATGCTCTTCCATGCAGAAGAGATTGGGCAGATAACCATCTCTTCTGGAGGATATTAAGTTGTGTTCTTGGAGATGAGAGGATGAACTCAGTTGACCTCTTAGGACAGACTTTCTTGTCAAAGGATACTTGGAATCTCTCCTTCCTGTTACCGCTGGGGAAGGGATAAGTAGAAGGTAATGAAGCATGAGCCTCCCCTACAGGAAGGAAACACACTAGGCATCTCCAAGTCCAGTTAGAACTTTGCCATCCACTGTAAGCAGGCTCACCCTCTGACCCTGGGAGACAATGAGATTTATCTATATCTTGTAACCATCAGTGATTAGAAACACATCCAGACAAAGAAGCCCAAGGGACACTTACTGCTCCATAATTTAACAGCTTCTCTCCGGACACTCCTTTGGATTATTTAAATTGCATTTTTTTCCAAGATACCGTGACCTCCCCATCTCATGAAGTGTGTTTACCAACCTTCTTCTCTCTTCTCACATTCTTCTTTCTCCCTAAGGTCAAAGCTAAAAATGGTGACATTTCTAATGACACATGTCTGTGTTTTAAAACGGAGTTACCCCCATCATGGATAACCCAGCCTCCACATCCACCTCATGTTGATGTTGAGGAAAAACAAAGAACACTGGAAAGTGTAAACTGCGTCTGTTCTGGAACAGAAAATACCTCCAAGAGGGACTGATTTCCACATGGAGTTTAGTAGCTCAGCGATGCCACCCACAAAAGCAGATCCTGTGTTTGCTTTTGTGTCATGAGACTCTGGAGACAGAATGAAGACATGCTTTTATGCATGCAGTATGATTTTGTGATTAGGGTTTTGTTCCTGGGCTGGGCTTGACAAAGTTCTTCTGCAAAGAGTAGTAAATATTTTAATCTTTGCAAGTCATAGGGTCTGTCTTGCTATCATTCAACTCTGCCCTTGTAGCACAAAGGCAGCCACAGACAATACAATGGGCATGGCTGCATTCCAAAACAAAACCTTTGTTTACAAAAACAGGCAGTGGGCCAGATTTATGTTGCAGAATGTAGTTGGCTGACACCTGTTCTGGAGAAAAATACTCTTTTCTCCACAAGGCCATCCCTCCTATCCATCAAGCTTCTTGTTCATGGCCCAGTGCGGGTGCTCCTCGGTACTTCTATTTTCCTCCTTTCTCCTTCGCTTTTCTTTCTCTGCTCCTTTCTTTGTTTCTCTCTTCTATATCTTCAATCTCTTTCTGTTTTTCTTGTAAAGCACTTGCCCACCACATTGTAATGTAATCATCTGCACCCAGATCTGTCCTCTACTGGACTTCCTTAAGGCTCTGTTTCTGAGAGTTTGTAGTTTTCTGCAATGCTTTATAGGCAGTAGGTGCTCGTTCAATGTTAGCTAATCAGCCTGCTCAACTGGGACATTTTACTCCTTTTCCTGAATGCCTGGTCTTCCTCCCATAACCTCCACAGCAGCTGTGTTTCAGGAGCAGCTCCTCCTCTCTGTTTGGAGCTCTCAGTGTTGGAGGAACAGCCACTGGGATGGGATTCTCTGAGTCCAGGAACCTTCAGCAGCTGGTCCCCGCCTGAAGAGAGAGCTGCTGTTCCAGTTCACAGCACACCTGGTTGTGACAGGAGAACAAAGGAGCCCTGGCAGGAGCATGAGTCAGACCAAGAGGGGGCGAAAGCCTTTTGGTGAAGGTCCCAGAAGGCAGAAGTCTTTTCATAGGGCTCGGGTCAGAGGTGTTCCACCCAAGAGGATGTCTGGCAGGTGGCAGCTTCCTTTCTGCACTCTTGCCCCATTCATCCTCTCTTTGGCCCTCATCTCTTCAAGAGAAGGACTCCTTCCTCCTGTTTTGCAAAATGACTAATTTTCATTTATGCCAATCTAGTTGACAGACCCAGGTCAACGCAGGGCTAAGGTAAGTGTCTGACTTCACAAGCCCCTGGGGCAGCAGCTCCTCTGATGGTTATAAAGAGCTGCTCAGGGGATGTTGGGCCTCCCCACATGGTCTTTTTTTGGGAAAGAACTTACCTGCTGAGTGTGCATCTTAGAGGCCTGCTGTGCTTTTGGCTCCAGAAATGGTGTCATCTGGGGCTTGGCCTGAGTCCAGGTTGCTCTTGGTCTCCTTCAGTGAGACATTTCCCCCTCCCACTCCTCCTTGCCCTCTTGCTAGTTTCACAGATGCACCAACACATCCATTTTTAATCTGACCAAATCAATTACAAATGTTACAGATTGTAATTACCGAAGGAACTCCCAAAAACTAATTATGTAATATGCAATCCCCACAATAAATTACACCTTTCCTTTGGCTTGATGTTCCAGAAAACTGTTTTCTGAGGAGGCAGAGAAAGTGTTGCTCATCTCTGCCAGGGATGCTCACGAAACGGCTCTTTATTTAGCTCCGCTGCATGTTTGTGGGTGTTTGTCAGAGGTGGCCACAGGCTTCGTGCCAGGGCTCTGGGCAGCAGCCACATCATCTTTTGCCACCATAGGGGATGTTGCCAGAATACCCATGGGACCATGTCTTCTTGTCATTCCACCACCAAGAGAAACTTCAGTTTCCTTGGGCAAAAATCTGGGAGTTCTGGTAACGGAAAGCAAATAGCAGATGCAGGAGATGCTTAAAAAGGAAAGAGAAGCAATGTGTTAACCTTGGCCTGAGACTAGTGGAGTCCTGTTAAGTGATGGATCACTAGAGCGTTCCTCAGCAACAGTGCCTGTCAGAGAAGAAATCCAGAGCCGACATTTACATTTTTCTTTTCTTGTTTTCTTTTCACTATCATCAGACAATGGAATCTCCGAGCTTGCTGAATCTCAGCTTTAGGTACCAATAAAGGCTTTCCTTGACCTAAATGCATTTGAAAATCACACTATAAAATTATGTCAGTGATAAAGTAAGAAATTCACTCATTTAGAGGACTCATAGCCTCAGAGTTGCAGACCCTTCACTGGGAGCTGCCATTCATGTGAAATGCTATTCATAACTCTTAATAAAATAATCAGGATTAAAGGGGAAACAGGGAGCAAACTTGTAAACATCTCAGGCATGGAGCAGGGGATGGAGAAGTTTAGGAACAATTGCTTATGTCAGGAGGGCCAAGGAAGGCTGACAGAAAAGAAAACGTTCTTTGAGTCTCAATAGTAGTGAGAGGGTTCCCAGTGAGGAGTGAGCTTGGGGTTTTTCCTGTGTGTCTATGTATGCACGGGGGTGGTATGTGTATGTGGCAGTGACTATGTGTGCATATACATGTGCACATGCAGATGTGAATTGTGTGCATGTGTGTATGCATGTGTGTGGATGTGAGTGGGTGTGGATGTGAGTGTGTACATGTGTGCATTTCTGCATTTGTATATGTGTTGCTGGGTATGGGTGTGTGTGCATATGTATGTGGGTGTACATGTGTGTATATGCCTCTGTGTGTGTGTGCACGTGTGTGTGTGTATAGGGACATCAAAACACACAAGATAAGAACCCTTTACTCTTCTCCTGCAGCCTTGGCCTTTACTTCCCTGTTACAGCCTCCGTGGTTCTTACTGTAGATTCCCATTGAACTGACCGCCTCCTCTCCTAGGAGGGCCAGGGGAGGGGGCGTCTGTGTGTTCTTCAGGTGCACACCCAGCCCTGAGCCTGCCTCCTGGTAAGTGCTAGCTCAGTGTCTGCAGAGCGGTGGAACTGCACCCCACACTGATGGGATGGGGGACAGTTAGTGTGCATGGCGGGCAGTTCTCATCTCACCTCCTTCCTCACCAGACATGCTAAGTTCCATTTTGCAACATGGGGAGTCTAGGTTTTGTCACTTGTTTTTTGAGCATTTGTTTTTAAGACAGAAATGCAATTTTTTGAATTAGCATGGACCCAATTCTGGCATATAGAATAAAGTCTATAGAAATCTGAAGAAACTTTTCTTTTTTCAAAATTCTTGACATCGGAAGAAACCTCGTGGAATGCTCTCAGTGTCTTTTACTGCAAACCTCCACATCCTCCTGGTGATTCTCACGTTCTCGCCTCTCATGTCCACTTGGTAATCTGTCATTTTAGTTTGGAAATGATTCAGGAACCTACTCAATCTCTCTTTGTAAAGCTGCTTTTATGAAAACAGTCATTCCTCCTTGCCTGTGTCACCACAAAATTGCTAGCTTGGTTTCTTTTTCCATTTCCCTTATTTCATTCTGTACACCTTGCCGAGGTTACTGTATTACTCTGTCTTGTACTGGTATAAAGAAATACCTTTACATGGCCAGGGGAGGAGGAAGATGGCAGAGGGGGTAGTGCTATTTATTTATTTATTTAAGATAGGGTCTCACTGTGTCACGCAGGCTGGAGTGCAGTGGGGTGCTCTCAGCTCACTGCAACCTCCGCCTCCCGGGTTTTAAGCAATTCTCCTGCCTCAGCCTCCCAAGTAGCTGGGATTACAGCTGTGTGCCACCACGCCCGACTAATTTTTGTATTTTTAGTAGAGATGGAGTTTTGCCATGTGGGCTAGGCTTACATACTTTTAAATAAACAGATCTCATGAGAACTCACTCACTAGGTAGTACCAAAAGGGGATGGTGGTAAACCATGAGAAACTGTCCCCACGATCCAATCGCCTCCCACCAGCGCCCACCTCCAACACTGGGGATTATAACTGAACATGAGATTTGGTGGGGACACAAATGCAAACCATATCGGTTACCTTTCAGTAAGAAGATCTACTTGCATTAAATGGGAAACTATGAAATTGCCCGTATCCAACCTCTCTTGACCTGCAAAAATTCGCGGTCTAACACAGGTCACCATGACACGGCTACCTAGTTCTCGAGTCTGTGTTGGCCTCTCATGACAATGGTTTTTTGAGAAGAACTTGCTGTACTTTGTTTCCTAATCACTTCCTCAGAATTAAATAAGTGGGGTGGTATCCAAAATCTCACGTCCCATCGATGTCATTTGCTGGGTAACCAACAGTGAAGATCAGATATTTACCTCTGAAATGCGATGTTCAAATCAAATAATAAAACATCTCTATGTACACATTTTATGCCTCTTTGTAATATCAATTGAATTCTATCCTTTCTGAAGTCACTACACCATTTCTCCCAGTAAAAAATTGTCTGCCAAATCTGAGTTGGTTCTGACACTACTAATTTTGAGTTGAGTGACCTTAGATAAATCACTCACCTTTTTAAGCTTCACTGTTTTTCATATAAAATTTAGATATATTAATAATAGTTAACCAACTGGGCTTGTCTGAAAATTAAAGTAAAAGTGCATATAAAATGGTCTGTAGGGTTATTTGCACCTACTAAGTTCTCCATGGAGTTGAGTTGGCATTATTTTTCTGGATCAATTCAAGGCCAACTCTGTTTGGATCAGTCTTGTCTGGACCCTTTCTGATACTCTGTAACTAAACGACAACTCACTGGAGGCATTTTCTCTAAATCCTCCTAAGTCTGAGAGGAGAGAGAGGTCTTTATTAAAAAAACTAGACAGGAACCTAATGGAAATCTTTTCTCTCTTTTCTTTTTAAAAACATATTTCCAATGAAAATAGTACTAGAATTTTCTTACACTTACATAAGTTTATGTGGAGAAATTTCAAACAGATTTTTAAAATATGAGTGATTCTTGCCAGAGATGTGAATTGTGAAATGAATTTAGAGGAGTTGCAGAGTTGCTTGGTAGTTAGTATTCTTCACTTTACTTTATGAGAAAATATTGGTATTGCATTAAGTTTTTAATAGCACATCTAATTATATCCTCATTAATAGATGTCAAATATTATTATTTAAAACATTGCTTCCATTAATTATGTTTTTTAAATTAAACAGCTAATTTTGAACAAGTTATATTTAAATAATTACATCTAATGCTAATAAAATGGAGTGTGCTTCAGCATCTTCTTTAGAAACACAACATAAAATGACCTGTAAAATTAAGTCTGATTTTCTTTCCTTGGCTAACCAGCTCCTCAGCTTCAGGCCTCCCTCTTCCTAGCTTCAAGTCCCACCAGAATCCACACACAGCTTACACTTCCAACACCAGCATTCGCTGTGCACACTATGGTCTCCCATAATGCAGGATTTTGTGTGTGTGAGTCTTCTCCCTGTAGTGTCCATTCTTTGCTTCTGAACCTGGAGAAAATCTCACGTGTTCCTCTTTAGAGACACCTTTCCTGCCTCCCCCTGACAGAGTTACTGATTCCATCTGCTGAGCTCCTAGGGTGCATTGCCTGTTCCTCTGCTAGAACATTCACCAAACTCTACCGTAATTGATCTCCAAGCCCATCTCGCCCCGACTCCACTCCTAGGCTCTTTTCTATTCCTGTGCCCAGTAATATCCCTAGCACATGGTAGGTAGGTGGAAGAAAGGTTGCTTTTCTTTCCTTCTTCCATTTTTTTTCTAAATTAATGAATAGATAAATAAAATTTGTAGACTAATGATATATGTTTGTTGAATGAATGGATAAATTAAATGAATTAGTGACTGTAAGAATTTTAGTGCATTTAGGATTTATATGGCCTAGGCACACTGGGTAACAAATCAGAACCAGAATATGTATACAGTAGTCCCTCCTTTCCATGAGGGATAAGTTCTACGACCCCCCAGTGGATGCCTGAAACTGCAGATAGTACTGAACTCTATATATACTATGCACTAATTGTTTTTCTTCTGAGACCCATGGATAGAATATTCATCCTTACCATAGATCTTAGAAACTTCAGCATATCTTTTCTTTCCTCATTAAGTTGAGAACTTTCACCTTTTGACCTTACTACTACTCTTGGCACATCAGAATCACCAGCAACACTATTATTGCACTTTGGGGCCATTATTAAGTCCAACAAAGGTTACTTGAACATAAGTACTTCAACATAATGACAATGGATCTGGTAACCAGGATGGCTGAGTGACTAATGGGCAGAATGGGCAGGTAGTATACACAGGGTGGGTTCCCTGGACAAAGGGAGGATTCATGTTCAGGCCAGGATGGAGTGGGACGACACAAGATCTCATCACGCTACACAGACCTGTGCACTATTTAAAACTTACGATTTGTTTATTCCTGGAATTTTCCATTCATTGTTTTTGGACCGAGGTTGACCTCATGTAACTGAAACCCTGGAAAGTGAAACTGTAGATAAAAGGAGACTACTGCATTTTAAAATAAAAAAGTTAAAAACAAACTATAGGCTGGGTGCAGTGGCTCACGGCTATAATACCAGCCTTTGGGAGGCCGAGGCAGGCAGATCACTTCAGTTCAGGAGTTGGAGACCAGCCTGGACAACATGGTGAAACCCTTCCTCTACCAAAAATACCAAAATCAGCCAGATCTGGTGGTGTGCACCTGTAATCCCAGCTACTCTGGAGGCTGACGTGGGAGAACCGCTTGAACCTGGGAAGCAGAGGCTGGAGTGAGCTGAGATTGCACCACTGCACTCCAGCCTGGGTGATAGAGCCAGACCTTGTGTCAAAAACAAACAAACTATAAAGCAATGCCATTGAGTAAAATGAGGTAATTTATTTAAAGTGTCTCACAAAATGCCTCTCAGCGAGCTCTCGGATACGGAAGATGTGCTTTACTGTGCATTGTGCTTCTTCTCATGGTTGCTGTGTTGTTCAGTAATTAGTAAATAAAAAAGAACTACCTAATAGAACATATGCTACCAGATGATGCTGAAACATCTATTTTACAATGCTATTTTTATTTACATTTAAAAAGCTTTTGAAATAAATTATAATATATAACCTAGTTTAATTATATATAATGTGTAAAATAACTTTACATACATATACTGTTCTTTGTTATGATTCTTATAATACAATATCATGGTTTTGTTAAGTATATTAATTCACTCCTTTCTTATACCAAGTTGCTGTAACATATTATGCATTATCTTAAATTATTTTATAATATTGTATGTGGCATATAGTAATGAAATTACTATAGAACTGAATGTGGGATAAATTCAAATTTGTTTATCAGATTGGGGTAACCTCCCTCTGAAGGTACTGACAGCTTTCGCTCACACATCTTGTGAAAAGACAAGGTTTTTCAGCAGCTGACTTGAACAATATGGGAGTCCATTCTAAATACTTCACAACTATTAAAATACCATACGTTGATTATTTACCTACTTAAAAGTAAAAAAGAGTGACACTCTCTATATCATGTTATATTTAATAAACATAAATGCTTCATTCTTATTTCACTTACACAGTGATTTCTCCCAATGATGTTTATAGTACTAGCATCTATGGCCATGCTACCTGACTGTAATATAATTTCATTGTCAGGAAAAATGTATGTGAAAAAAGCAATAAGATATAGATAACTGTAAATGTGTTACTTCTAACTAAAATAGAATAAGACATCCACAAAATTATGGTTTTACTCCAGAGTCAATGGTAGGTGGTAGCATAACTTACTCCATGCTCTGAGCCCAAGAGCCATCTGGTTTTCTTCCTACAACTGAGACTGAAATTCATTGCTCTGTAAACTTCGAATCCCTGGGTGTTTCAGAAAGCAAGCAGATTTGATTTTGCTCTTACAACAAAAAGGCCTGTGTAAAGAATTCTTTTAGTCTGTAACAATAGCAACACTAAATCCTTTTATCTGAAACCTAAAGGCCTGATAGAAACATAGAATTTGGGAAACAGTTCCAAGATAACAAAATAGAGTCTTTAAATAGCATTGCTGATTTTTTGGTTTTTTTCATATAGCCTCTTAAACATCCACCCCATCCTGCAAGTTTTGGACTTCTATCCATCTGTACTTTCTTTATCGAAACTGTAAACATCCTGTTCTCATACTTCATATGAAGTAAGAAGCAAAATAAAACACAAAGATAGAACAGACAGTAAAATAGCATACAAATGTTTGTAGTTTATATTAGTATATTTGCCTATGGCAAGTGTACTAAAATCATCTATAAAATTGCCAATTAACTTGAAGTTATAGCAAGTTATTTTGGGAAGAAATGGCCCACGTTAGCACTATCACTTTTGCAGTTTAACAGTTTAAGGTATGAATTCTCTTAAACACTCCTGCCCCTTCCATTTCTGTGTATGGTGTAATGAAAGCAGCAGAGATATTTGGTTATCCCTAATCTGGAAGTGGAGTGTATATTTCTCAAGTTTAAAGAAGAGAATTATTCTGCCTTTCTTTAATTAGCATTTGTTTTGGGCATATTCTATATATAAGACAAAGGATAAGAACCATAAGGATTATGAATTAATAGAAATGTGTCTCTGGCTTCTAAGGGACCATACGGTGAATAAATGCATTAAAATCAAATGGGTAATTATTTCTAATCTGCATGATCATGGATGTTTTTATGGAGGAGGTAACATTGGGTTTATTTTAAGCTGTGGTAGAGTTTTCAATTAGCCGTGGCAAGAAGGATGGCATTCCAGCTAGAGTCAGCTTGGACCCAGTCGGAGAACAGCAAGGCCCCAACCGTATTTGAGGAGAGGTGAGAGATCAAGTTAATTCTAATGAAGGGATTAGGTAGGACCATGTAGTTGAAAACTCAGACGAAGAAATAAGTAAAGACGAGGTTTTGGAAGCTCCTTTCTCTCGCCAAGTGTGTAATACCAAGTCTCCAAAACAGAAGATGACACAGATCAAAGCTCTATTAACTTAAGGGGCAGAGAATGCCCAAGGTTAGTGGAATGCTCACAGAGTTCCCACAGTGAGAAGGTTTTGCTCATAATATGTGTCTAAGATATTAACACTCAGTAAATTCCAATTAGACTGTTTATGTAAGGATTCTGATTCATAAACATAATTTATTAAAACAAATAGAAATAATAAGGTACATATATGTAAAGGTATATGTGTAAAGATATATATGTCTATCATTCTGCCATCTATCCTCTGTCATTCCATCTATGCATATATCTATTTATGTATGTATCTATCTACCTACCTATCTATCATTTATCTATCAAATCGATCTATCTTGGCTGTTACTTTTAAACTCTTCCTATTATAGACCTCAATTCTAAGGATAAGCATCTCTTTCATTAACACTCACCTGCCTAACTGCTCACATCCACCTGCCTGAACTCAGACTTCACTGAGCTCAACAGGGCTTTTGCGCAGTTTATACCTGCACCTCTAGTATTGTTTAAGCATCTCTCTCAAGCCATATTCTGCTATGCTTTCATTTTAAGCTTTTAGTTCCTAGCATGTACAGGCATTATGAGTTGAGTGAGGAGGAAGTGTTTGTGAAAATAGAAATACCATTTGAATAAAAGCTACACAAGTCCTTAAAACATAGTCCCTATAGAGATGAGTTTCTGACATTGAACTTTACAATTGTCATTTCACTTTTAATTCCCTGACATTGTTCCATGCACCTCACCAAGATTCTTTTAGCCGCAGATCATACAATTAGGAATATGCACCTCACAGAAGGCAGTGTTATAATGTCAAAGGACTTCGACAATTCTCCAATTGAATTAGTATAAATAGAGAAAAAGAAAGAAAGAAAGAAAGAAAACATATACCCCCTCTGGATCCTTGGATAAGGGGGTCACTACACAGAGGTATAGATTCATAATGATGTGTATAAGCCCCAGGAAGCTTTAATTTGCCTTCCATTTACTCTAAACCCTCTGGAAAAGAATGAGAAAAATATAACAATGAAGAAGAGGTTAGAGTTACAATCTCTCACCACTCCGGCTGCCTCTACATGCCAAAGATGAGAAAAAGGAGGTGCATCTTGCGGGAGCATCAAGGCTTGGGAAGCTGGATTCTTTTCGTTTGGGCCCACAGAGATCAAAAACTTCAGTCCCTGGGACCAGCAGGGAAACGAGAACTACATGGACCAAGACCAGTCCTGTTGCCTTAGTCTGAGGCAACCTCAGCACCATTCATTCTAACAAGCCCGGTGATGGGTCTGATTGTATCAGAAGTGACCTGGCCAGCACCACTCACCTTAGGGCTACCTCATAGAAAGAGATTAGGCTGTCCAGTGGAAACTAAATATTCAGAAGACTGGAGCTCTCTTCAAAAGAAAAAAAAAAAAAGAATGCACCAATCCACATAAACTGTAGAGCTACAGATGAATCATATACCTTTATTTTAAAGGTAATATTGATGCTGAAATTCACACTGTCGATTCTTTGCGAGGTTTGTTAGCTAGAATTATATCTAAGATGTATGTGTGTCAATAATTTGAGGAGAAAATGGTAACCAACGAAGATCTAGGTATAAAATGAAGTTTTCTGAGGATGAGAGGGAGTGGGGTGGTCCTAAAGCTCAGCGTGAGGGGATTTCTCAGAGATCTCATTGGGGATATACATTGACCTTGGACATTTTCCATCTGTTGCCTTACCCTTCATTTCCTTAAATGTGCTTATGGCCTCAAGCTGCTTTAAAACATAGCATTCATGTCTATGTACCTCTAGCATTATTATTTGCACGTCTTTCATGAGCCATTATGAGTCAAAACTGTTAATCAGAACATAAAATAATGTCAGAAAGAGAAAGCTGCAGAGGAGTTAAAAATGAGCACTTTTGGAAATGAGCAAAGCGCTGAATGGCATGCTACATTCATTGGCTGGAGCAATAGATGGCGTTAATTTCTGGGACAAGACTAACAATATATAAGCACTTAGTAAGAGTTATATAACAAGTAAAGACTGGCACTAAAGGAGACATCTATAAATTTAGGTCAGAAAATAAATGCATATTATCTTTTAACTTTTCAAAGGATTAAATCCTATGTTTACTTTTACAACGTTTATAATTTGTTTTCCGTTCACTGAAAAGTCATTCCTGACCTTTCCCATGCCATAGTTTATCCTTATGTGGCTTAGTTGACATCCAGTAACCCATTTTATCTCTGTTGTTTTGAAGCATATAAGATAGAAAAGACCTTCTAATAGAAAATTAGGGTGGCGATACCGCTTACTATAGAAAGTTTGACCAAAAATTAAACTGAAATCTAAGTGCTTTCGGCAAATCTATATTTCTTTCCAGATGCTCTGATCTTCTTTTCTGGGGGGTGGGTGGGGGGTATTTGTGTTTTATTTTTCATTGACTGTTATTTTAAGTTCTCAAGTACATGTGTAGGATGTGCAGGTTTCTTACACAGGTGAACATGTGCTATGGTGGTTTGCTGCACAGATCGACCTATCACCTAGGTATTAAGCCCAACATCCATTAGCTATTCTTCCTGATGCTCTCCCTTCCCCCACCTGGCCCCCAACGGCAGGCCCCAGTGTGTGTTATTCCCCTCCATGTGTCCATGTGTTCTCATTGTTCAGCTCCCACTTATAAGTGAGAACATGTGGTGTTTGGTTTTCTGTTCCTGTATTAGTTTGCTGAGGATAACGACTTCCAGCTCCATCCATGTCCCTGCAAAGGACATGATCTCATTCCTTTTATGGCTGCATAGTATTACATGGTGTACGTGTACCACATTTTCTTAATTCCGTCTATCATTGATGGGCATGTAGGTTGATTGCATGACTTTGCTATTGCGAATAGTGCTGCAATGAACATACATATGCATGTATCTTTGTAATAGAATGATTTATATTCCTTTGGGTATATACCCTGTAATGGGATTGCTGGGTCAAATGATATTGCTGCCTCTAGATCTTTGAGGAATCACCCACACTGTCTTCCACAATGGTTGAACTAATTTGTAGTCCCACCAACAGTGTAAAAGTGTTCCTTTTTCTCTGCAGTCTTGCCAGCATCTGTTGTTACTGGACTTTTTAATAGTCACCATTCTGATTGGCTTGAGATAGTATCACACTGTGGTTTTGATTTGTATTTCTCTAATGATCAGTGATGTTGAGCTTTTTTTGCACATGTTTGTTGGCTGCATGAATGTCTTCTTTTGAGAAGTGTCTGTTCATATCCTTTGCCCACTTTTTAATGTTTTTTTTCTTGTAAAATTGTTTAAGTTCCTTGTAGACTCTGTGTATTAGACATTTGTCAGATGGATAGATTGCAAAAATTGTCTCCCATTCTGTAGGTTGTTTTTTCACTCTGATTGATAATTGTTTCTTTTGCCATGCAGAAGCTCATTAGTTTAATTAGACTCCATTTGTCAACTTTTGCTTTTGTTGCAGTTGTTTTTGGTGTTTTTCTTATAAAATCTTTGCCTGTGCCTGTGTCCTGAATGGTACTGCCTATATTTTCTTCTAGGGTTTTTATAGTTTTGGGATTTACATTTAAGTCTTTAGCCCATCTTAATTTCTGTGTAAGGTATAAGGAAGAGGTCCAGTTTCAATTTTCTGCACATGGCTAGCCAGTTTTTCCAGAACCATTGATTAAATAGGGAATTCTTTCCCTATTGCTTATTTTTGTCAAGTTTGTTGAAGATCAGATGGTTGTAGGTGTGTGGTCTTGTTTCTGAGTTCTTTATTCTATTCCATTGGTCTATGTGTCTGTTTTGGTACCAGTACCATGCTGTTGTGGTTACTGTAGCCTTGTAGTATAGTTTGAAGTCAGGTAGCATAATGCCTCCACCTTTGTTCTTTTTGCTTAGGATTATCTTTGCTATGCAGGCTCTTTTTTAGTTTCATATGAATTTTAAAATAGTTTTTCCTAATTCTGTGAAGATGTGAAGAATGTCAGTGGTAGTTTAATGGAAATAGCATTGAATCTATAAATTATTTTGGACAGTATGGCCATTTTCACTATATTAATTCTTCCTATCCATGAACATGAAATGTTTTTTCATTTGTTTGTGTCCTTTCTGATTTCCTTGAGCAGTAGTTGAAGAAGTCCTTCACTTCCACTGTTAGCTGTATTCCTAGGTATTTTATTCTTTTTGTAGTAATTGTGAATGGGAGTTCGTTCATGATTTGGTTCTCTGCTTGCCTGTTGTTGGTGTATAGGAATGCTAGCAATTTTTGTACGTTGATGTTGTATCCTGAGACTTTGCTGAAATTTCTTATCAGCTTAAGAAGCTTTTGGGCTGGATGCTTTGATTTCTTTTCAGACAATGAGAAAATGTTCCTCTGTAAGTTTTAGAATGACATTGATGAGTTTTACAGCAGTGTAGTTGAGTGAGATGGTCCCATCTCCCTGTAAAGTGTTTTCCTTGATTCATTAGATCTGACATTGCACCATGTGTCCCACTGCTTGAGGGAATGTATTATACCAAATGGTAAAATATCTTAGCCATACCTGATTACACTGTCTCATTTTAGCAATGACCCACAGATATCCAGTAGAATGTGTCTGACACCATTCAACAAGAAATAATGAGGAAAAAAAAAAAAACAAGCAAGGGAGTGGGTATCTTTTGAATGCTGAAACAATAGTAGCTTGAGCAACAGCACCATCATTCATTGGTAAAGTGAAAAACTGGGTTGCCCACAAGCACCTTCTCTACTCAAGTGACATGGGTCATTATGACCTTGATTTTGATACCTATACGAATTTGTTAACTTCTCCTGGTCCCTTAGCTACACATTACAGCCAACCATGCACACCAAAGCCCAGCTGTATTTTAACACTGAATAAGTTTCTAAACAGAAGGAATGAGCAAATGAATGTGGTTTGGTTCAGTGGAGTTTCATCAACTAATTAGGTAAATAGTTTGAATTACATGTCTGAAACATCAATGGGCCACTCAGTACTCAGAGGTCCTCTCATGTAAATGCTAAACTTTTAGCTATTGACCATACTCTCAGTGAACCAGCCTCTTATATATCTTTTCCTTTAGACCACTTAGGTCAACCCATTTTTTCATAAGTTATGAGAACTTAAGAGAAAAGCACTTGCTGATGAATTGATTCAGCAAGTTTGACTAAACAGGTCAAACACCGTCTCTCCTTTCCCTCTCTTTTGCTTTCATTCTTTTCCTCATTAACCCACTCTCTCCCACTTCCTTCCTGTTTTATTCTACATTCCCATTTTCATAAAGAGTTTGGACTGCATCTCCCCACACTATGTAGGGTACACTTGTTCAATAAGAAATAGGACATTTATTTCCATTACTTTTTATGTGGGAATGACTGGATTTTTTTCTAGAGCTCTAGATCATGTAACAGAGTTCATGACTTCGATTGGGGCTGAATGAATACCTCATTCCAGTTCTTCCTCAGGCAGAGTAGACCTTATCTATAAATATTTGTTGATTGAATCAAGGGATATAGGAACCCTTGGTCTTATCTAATTATCACACATTTTCTATGCCATGTGCAGCTTTAAGATATTGGGAAAATTATCTAAACTTCTAAATCTCTTTTTCCAATTGTTAAGTAGGATTGATAAGATCTACCCCATAGATTTGTTTATTTGCTTATATTTTAAGAGAGAACAATGGCCAAGCACCTGGCACACAGTAGGTGATTGGCAATGTTTATTCTTATTCTTTTCTCAACAGTGCCTAGTGCTCTTCTCTATACATAGAAAATGCTCCATTACTGGAGTTAAGAAAAAAAAACCGGAGAGTAATAAATTATGTCCTTCCTCTTAAATGTGTTAACTCAGGGACACACTTTGTGATGGTGTGAAGTACCTGACAAACACAAAACCCTAGGGAACCATGCTAACTGTCCCGGGTGATGATGGTGAGACATTCATGGTGAGCATACTCAGTGTGTCTGTAAGTGTGGATGAGTTGTGTAATAGGCTGCTCGTGCCTCTTAGATGGAGCACAGCGTTCACACAGCTCTGCTCCTGGAGAAAATAGATAGAAGGTCAAGGGAGAATAGCAGGGTGTGGGCAATGCTGCTAAATACTGCCTCGGGGACTCACTCACCCAGGGAATTCAGAGTTGCTCTTTTCTCGCCTGCAAAAACTGAGATGCAGCCAGAGTTGCGTTTCATTAGAAGGAGACATTCGGTGGAGCTCAGCTTTTTCAGGAGGGAGATGGGTGACAGGTAGCTGGGAGAGTATGCTGGATGAATCTGAGTGTCTGGAATTTTAAGTGTTCGCCTCTTGCTTCTCAGTAGGTGGCTGCCTCTTGAGGTCTGGCATTCACCCAAGTCTTGAGCATTACCTCAGCATTTAAAGAGAAAACAAGTGATAAAAAGAATCCGCAAAACTGCGTTTAAATCACCATCAACATTAAGGAATGCCACAGGCTGGGTTTTGTTCACCCTGTTAGCATGCAGAATTATTTTTCACTATAGGAAGCTGTCTTTTCCCAACCAAGAAAACAAACAAAACAAAAAAAGCAGAACTAATTAAGATCGTCATATCTCAATAAATATGCAAATGAAAAATCAAAACAAAGAAACTCTATCACATCATAAAGTTGCAAATTGCTGTATAGGCTGGCTTGGAAGAATGGCAAGGGATAGAGTCTTCTTAATGGCTTTGCTTAGAGATTGTCTGAAAGCTGCATTTATATAGGTTTATGTTTGAGGATGAGGATGGTGAACTTGCCAGGAGAAAATTATTTTCATACTTTGTCTCCAAACTCTGTGGAAAGGAAAGGGGAATAAAAATTCAGTCGAGTGACTATGTGTGAGGTTCTATGCTATGGCATTTGTTTCTAAGTGCATCATTTCAAGAAGAAGAGGTTTTATGCTATGGCATTCATTTCTATGTATATCATTTCAAGAAGAAAAACAATAAGATTCCCATTTTACACATGAAGACAACAAAGCTCAGAGAAGGCAAATTCCTGTTTCTCACTTGGTATTTGGAGAAGAATTCAAACCCACAATTACTTATCTGACTCTAATTTTATGTTTTGTTTCTGATTTATATTTTGCCCCTACACCATGACTCTCCAATACCGCCTAAAGTGACTTCACTTTTGAATGTGTGTTTACAGGACATCAAAGCTTCCTAGTGAAAGGAGGAAATAAAATCAATTTTCAGGTGTTTTCTCCATGTATTTCCCACATCTCAATATTAAGGCCCACTCTATCAGTGGAACTACCGTTTGATTTCTGCATGATGCTATAATGCTATTTTCTTTCATTTATATTTAACTTCAGTTGCAAATGGTGAGTATGAATTGAATTCATCAGGTTTGAAAAATCAAGAGGGAGGAGAGAGAGAGAATAGCTAACACCCTACTATTGCTGAAGTTATTGTAACCATGCCTTAACATATGTATTTCATCCTGAGGGAGCTGAATCTGAGCTGCAGAGAGAGCAACTCTGCATGACGTTGGAGCTTTATTTTAGAAGCTGCTGTCTGCTCTCTGGCATGTAGAATGCTGCCCTTAGAAGAAGGTTCTCCTGGACACGGGCTGTGTTGCTCTTCTGGACCGCTAGGCTAACTTAAGTGTGAGGCTGTTTATGAGAATGGGGAATTATCTGGAATGAGCAAACAGTTAATAAGATTGGAGGTGATTTGGTATCTATTAAGTATTCCACACTGCCCTGGGCACAAAGGCAGTACAAGGAGCAGTGGTGAAACCAGTAGGAGGCCACCACACACAGAATTGCTTCTTACCACTGCCAGTCATATTAAACAAAATAGAAGTATCTAGTCAAAGAGAGTGGTCCAACAAAGTGCTCAAACAAGTTAAAGAAGGGAGAGGCTGATGTTCTCAAGGAAGATTTCAAAGAGCTGAATGCAAGCTTTACCTTCAAGATAGAAAGGTTGGCAGGAGTGTCAAGGCAGTTTTATTGCATTTTGCTAGATCTGAACAACTTTGTTCAAAGGGAATAAGATAATGGATTAAGTGGTGGCAGGACACAGTGACTCTGACCACTTGCCAGGGACATCTAACAACAGTGTTTCATCTTTTCATATCCATCCCCTTTTGTTCCTTCTTTCTTTTATCTTCCCTCCTTCCCTTTCTTTTATCTTCCCTCCTTCCCTTTCTTTTTTCCTTCCTTTCTTCCTTCTACTTTCTTCTCTTTCTCTTTTTACTCTTTTCTTCTTTCTCTTTCCCCCCTCTTTTCTTTTCCCAGCCTTACTTTTTTGTTTTTAGATGTAAAACATTATATTCTTTTTTTCTCATTAAAATACTCATTTTAAGCCTTGAGAAAAATATAGAAAATATTGATACATAAAAAATAACCTGTACCTTATGTCATCTTATTCTCATTGTCTAAGTATAACCACTGTCAGCCTACAAGAGTAGACTTTCCAGTTCTTTATCTGACATGTTTAGTTTTTTTTTTTTTAATTATTTTTGCATTTGCGTGTATTTCTTGAGCTCCGTTTTCTTCTTACTAAGCTATATACTATAGTAGTTCTTTTTAGCAGTGGTTTCTCCATGGGAAGATGTATTTACTCATGCAAAAGAAATAAAGGGATTTTTTGAGTATAGAATTGCAGTTTGGGGTTCATTTTCCCTCAGCATTGACAAGACATAATTAATTTCTTTTTTCTGCCTCGCTTTAACATTTTTATTTATTTGTTTGTTTTTGCTTTTGCAAATTAAGCTTTAAATTTAGAATAATTTTATATTTATAGAAACACTGCAAAGATACCACAGAAAGTTCCTTTCACCTAGTTTCCCTTATTTAATTTGTTTTTATGGAAAATTTATTGTTGATCTAAATGTCCCTTATTTAAAGATAATCTGTCTTTATTT